>NC_000003.12:195215569-195366568 GCF_000001405.40 Homo sapiens | reverse complement strand
TCAGATTCTCCATTTCTAACAAGACTGGGGTGGTTCTAGCGATTCTATAGTTCTGACCAGCTCCCAGGTGATGGCGGTAATGTTTGGTCACACCTGGCAAGCTTTTAAAATACTGATTCTGGAGTCACCAGTGTCTCTAATTATTGCAACATCTGTGTATTTAAAAGTTGCCCAAGTTATTTCAATGTGCAACCAATTTGAGAACCACTGGGTAGAGCAGTTTGGTACCAATGTTTGTATAACAGAATCATCTGGCAAACTTCCTAAAAATATAGAAGCAGCCTATGTTTCTTCAACAAGATTGCATCTTTGTATTTTCTTTTAGTTTTCCATGTGATTGTGATACAACACTAAGCCAGTGGAGAACCACTGCCTTAGAGGAAGGAAGAAAAGGTTTGGAGAAACAAATTAGTACAGGTAGAAGGGCCAGACATGGTAGCTCACGCCTGTAATCCCAGCACTTTGGGAGGCCAAGGTGGTGGGCAGATCACTTGAGGTCAGGAGTTCGAGACCAGCCTGGCCAACGTGGTGAAACCCCATCTCTACTAAAAATACAAAAATTATTCGGGTGTGGTGGCGCGTGCCTGTAATCCCAGCTACTCAGGAGGCTGAGGTAGGAGAATTGCTTGAACCCAGGAAGTGCAGGTTGCGGTGAGCTAAGGTCGCGCCACCTACACTCCAGCTTAGGCGGCAAAGGAAGACACTGTCTCAAAAAAAAAAAAAAAAATTACTATAGGCAGATGAAGTAGAGAGGAATAAATAATATTCATTGACATATTGCGAGCAATTCCTGATGATTGCAAAGAAGAGTTCTCTTTCTCTTCATTGATTTTAGGCCTAATGAGATTAACCAAAAGATCCAATGAATCTATAGTGGCACAAGCCATAGCCTTGCCCTTTTCTATAGATTCCGGAAAGGACAGGAATGATTATGTCATGGAGAATCATCAGAAGAGAGTGCTATGGTAGCTGAGTAATACTTAATGTGTTTTTTTTTTTTTAGAGACAAGGTCTCCCTTTGTCACTCAGGCTCGAGTGCAGGGGCATGATCATAGCACTGCTCTGGGAATCCTCCCACCTCAGGATGGTAGGTGTATGCCACAATGCCCTGATAATTTTGTTCTTTAAAACAATATTAGCAACATTTTTTTATTTAAAATTTTTGTGGGTGCATAGTAGGTGTGTATTTAGGGGATATGTGATATGGGATATTTTGATAATGTGTAATAATCAGAGTAAATGGGGTATCCAACACCTCAAGCATTTATCCTTTGTGTTACAAACAATCCAGTTATACACCTTGTTATTTTAAAATGAGCAGTTAAATTATTTTTGACTATAGTCACCTTGTTGTGCTAGCAAATACTAGGTTCTATTCATTCTTTCTAACTGTATTTTGTACCCATTAACCACCTCCACGTCCCCCTACCCTCCACCTAGCCTTCCCAGCCTCTGCTAACCATCATTCTACTCTCTATGAGTTCAATTGTTTTAATTTTTACCTCCCACAAATAAGTGAGAACACGCGAGGTTTATCTTTCTGTGCCTGGCTTATTTCACTTAACATAATGACGTCTAGTTTCGTCCATGTTGTTGCAGATGACAGGATCTCATTCTTCTTTATGGCTGACTAGTACTGCATTGTGTATATGTACCACATTTTCTGCAACCATTCATCTGTTGATGTACACTTAAGTTGCTTCCAAATCTTGGCTACTGTAAATATGCTACAGTAAACGTGAGAATGCATATATCTCTTTGATACACAGATTTCTTTTGTTTTGGATATACGTCTGAGAGTAGGATTGCTGGATGGTATGGTAGCTCCATTTTTAGTTTTCTCAGGAATCTCCAAACTGTTTTCCTTAGTGGTTGTACTAATTTACATTCCCACCAACAGTGTACAAGGGTATTCTTTTCTCCACATCCTCACTAACATTTGTTAATTGCTTGTTTTTTGGATAAAAACCTTTATTTTATTTATTTATTTATTTATTTGAGACAGAGTCTTGCTCTGTCACCCAGGCTGGAGTAGAGTGGCGGGGTGTCAGTTTACTGCAACCTCCATCTCCGGTGTTGAAGTTATTCTCCTGCCTCGGCCTCCCTAAGTGCTGGGATTACAGGCATGAGCCCCTGCACCCAGCCTTGGATAAAAGCCATTTTAACTGGTGTGAAATAATCTCATTGTAGTTTTGATTTGCGTTCGCTGATGATCATTGATGTTGGGTGCCTTTTCATATGCCTGTTGGCCATTTGTATGTCTTTTTTGAGAAACGTCTATTCAGATATTTTGCCCATTTTTAATTAGATTATTAGATTTTTTCCTAGTTATTTGAGCCCTTTATAATATTCTTGTTATAAATTCCTTGTTAGAGGGATAGATTGCAAATATTTTCTCCTGTGGATTGTCTCTTCACTTTATTGTTTCCTTTGCTATGCAGAAGGTTTTTAACTTGATGTGATTCCATTTGTCCACTTTTGCCTTGGTTGCCTGTGCTTCTGTAGGGTATTAAGAAATTTTTATCCAGTCCAATGTCCTGGAGAATTTCCCCAATGTTTTCTTTTAGTAGTTTCATAATTTGAGGTCTTAAAGTCTTTAATCCACTTTGATTTGATATTTATATATGGCAAGAGATAGGGCTCTAGTTTCGTTCTTCTGCAGTGGAGTTGTCTGAGCTTTATTTACTGAACAGACTGCCCTTTCCCTGTTGCATGTTCTTGGCACCTTTGTCGAAAATGAGTTCACTTTAGATGTATGGATTTGTTTCTGGGTTCTCTATTCTGTTCCTTTGGTCTGTGTGTCTGTTTCTATGCCAGTGCCATGCTGCTTTGGTTACTATTGCTCTGTAGTATAATTTGAGGTAATGTGATTTCTTCAGTTTTGTTCTTTTTGCTTAGGATAGTTTTGGCTATTCTGTTTTTGTGTGTGTGTGTGTGTGTGTGTGTATGTGGTTTCATATAAATTTTTAGGATTTTTTTTCTATTTTTGTGAAGATTGTCATTGGTATTTTTCTTTTACTTTTTTCTTTGTCCAGAGCAGCTGGGACCACAGGTGCGTGCCACCACGCCTAGTTAATTTTGTATTTTTAGTAGAGACGGAGTTTCTTCATGTTGGTCAGGCTGGTCTCGAACTCCCAACCTCAGGTGATCCACCCATCTCAGCCTCCCAAAGTGCTGGGATTACAGGCATGAGCCACCGTGCCCGGCCTGGACATTTTAACAATATTAGTTCTTCCAATTCATGAACATAGAATGTCTCTCCATTAATTTGTGTCCTCTTCAACATTTTGCATCAATGTTTTATAGTTTTAATTGTGGAGATCTTTCACTTCTTTGGTTAATTGCTAAGTATTTAATTTTATTTGTAGCAATTGTAAATGGGATTACTTCCTTGATTTCTTTTTCAGATTCTTCACTGTTGGCCTATGGAAATGCTACTGATTTTTGTGTGTTGATTTTGTATCCTGCAGCTTTACTGAATTTATCAGTTGTAATAGTTTTTTTGGTGGTCTTTAGTCCAAATATAGGGTCATATCATTTGCAAACAAGGATAATTTGACTTTATTCTTGCCAATTTGGATGCTTTTATTTTAGTCTCTTGTCTTATTGCTCTAGCTTAGGACTTCCATAATAAGTTGATTAACAGTGATGACAGTGGGCATCCTTGTCTTCTTCCAGATCTTAGAGAAAAGGCTTTCAGTTTTTCCCCATTCACTATTATACAAGCTCTGGATCTGTTGTATATGGGCTTTATTATGTTGAGGTATGTTTCTTCTATACCCAGTTTTTTGAGAGTTTTTATTATGTTGAATTGTATCAAATGCTTTTTCAGCATCAATTGAAGTCATCATATGGTTTTTGTCTTTAATTTTATGTATCACATTGATTTGCATATGTTGAATCCTTACATTCCTGGATTAAATCCCAGTTGGTAATCCTTTTAATGTGTTGTTTAATTTGAGTTTGCTTATATTTTGTTGAGGATTTTTTCATCAGTGTTCATCAGAGATATTGGCCTGTAGTTTTGTGTGTGTGTGTGGTTATTTTTTATGCATCTCTGTCTGATTTTGGTATCAAGGTAATAACTGGCCTCATAGAATGAGTTTGTAAGTATTCCCTCCTTTGCTATTTTTCAGAATAGTTTGAGTAGGATTGGTATTAGATGTTCTTTAAATGTTTGGTAGAATTTTGAAGTAAAGCCATCTGGTCTCAGGTTTTTCTTTGCTGGAAGATTTTTTTTTTTTTTTTTTTGAGATGGAGTTTTCACTCTTGTTGCCCAGGCTAGAGTGCAGTGGCGCAATCTCGGCTCACTGCAACCTCTGTCTCCGAGGTTCAATCAATTCTCCTGCCTCAGCCTCCTGAGTAGCTGGGATTACAGGCAAGTGCCACCACGCCTGGCTAATTTTTTTGTATTTTTAGTAGAGACGGGGTTTCAGCCATGTTGGCCAGACTGGTCTCAAACTCCTGACCTCAGGTGATCCACCCACCTTGGCCTCCCAAAGTGCTAGGATTACAGGAGTGAGCCACCGGGCACAGCCTGGAAGACTTTTTATTTGAGCTTTGGTCTTGTTACTGGTCTGTTCAGGTTTTGGATTTCTTCGTGCTTCAATCTTGGTAGGCTGTATGTGTCTAGGAATTTATCCATTTATTCTAGGTTTTCTAATTTATTGGTGCATAGTTGTTCATAGTAGCCTGTAATGATCCTTAGAATTTCTGCAGTATGGGTTATAATGTCTCCTTTTTCATCTCTGATTTTTTTATTTGGTCTTCTCTTTTCTTAGTCTGGCTAAAGGTTTGTCAGTTTTTTAATCTTTTTGAAAAACCAACTTTTTGTTTCGTTGATTTTTGTATTGTTTTCTTCTTTTTAATTTCATTTATTTCTGCTCTGGTCTTTATTTATTTTCTTCTGCTAACTTTAGGTTTAGGTTTGGTTTCCTTTTGCTTTTCTAGTTCTTTAAGATGCATCATTAGGTTGTTTATTTGAAGGTATTTTGTTTTTGATGTAGGCACTCTTAGCTATAAACTTTCCTCTTAATACTGCTTTTACTATATCCCATACATAGGCTTCGGTTTGTTGTGTTTCCATTATCATTTGCTTCAATAAATTTTTTAGTTTCTTTTCTTTTTTTTTTTGAGACAGAGTCTTGCTCTGTCACCCAGACTGGATTGCAGTGGCACAATCTCTGCTCACTGCAACCTCTGCCTCCTGGGTTCAAGTGATTTTCATGCCTCAGCCTCCTGAGTAGCTGAGATTACAGGTGCATGCCATTACACCTGGCTAATTTTTGTATTGTTTAGTAGAGACAGGGTTTCACCATGTTGGCCAGGCTGGTCTCAAACTCCTGGCCTCAAGTGATCTGCCTGTCTTGGCCTTTCAAAATGTGGGGATTATAGGCCTGAGCCACTGTGCCCAGCCCAGTTTCTTTCCTAATCTATTCATTCACCCACTGGTCATTCAGGAGCATATTGTTTAATTTCCATGTGTTTATATAGTTTCCAAAATTCCTCATTATTTCCAGTTTTATTCCATTGTGGTCGGAGAAGATCCTTGATATTATTTCAGGTTTTTTTTTTTTTTTTTTTTGAGTTTCTTACCACTTGTTTTGTGACCTAGCAATATGGTCTGTCCTTAAGAATGATTCATGTGCTGGGAAGAAAAATGTGTGTTCTACACCCCCTCAATGAAATGTTCTTAAATATTCATTAGGCCTGTTTGGTCTATAGTACAGATTTTTTTTTTCTTTTCTTTTTCCTTTTTTTTTTATTTTTTTGAGATGGAGTCTCACTCTGTCGCCCAAGCTGGAGTGAGTGCAGTGGCACGATCCCAACTCACTGCAACCTCTGCCTCCTGGGTTCAAGTGATTCTCCTGCCTTGGCTTCCCAAACTGCTGGAATTACAGGCACGTGCCACCACACCCAGCTAGCTTTGTATTTTTAGTAGAAATGGGGTTTCACCATGTTGGCCAGGCTGGTCTCGAACTCCTGACCTCAGGTGATCGCCCGCCTTGGCCTCCCAAAGTACTGGGATTACAGGCATGAGCCACTGCACCTGGCCTGTAGTGCAGATTAAGTCTGATGTTTCCTTGTGGATTTTCTGTCTGGATGATCTGTCCAGTGCTGAAAGTGGGGTTTTGAAGTCTCCAGCTGTTATTATATTGGGGTCTGTCTCTCCCTTTAGCTTTAATGATATTTGCTTTATATATCTTGGTGCTCCAGTGTTTGGTACATATATAATTATACTTGTTATGTTCTTTTGCTGAATTGAACCCTTTATCATTATAATGACCTTCTTTGTCTCTTAAAAATTTTTTTTTCTTGAAGTCTGTTTTGTGTGATATAAATATAGCTGTTTCTGTTCCTTTTGGTTTCCATTTGCATGTAATATCTTTTTCCATTCCTTTATTTTCAGTTTTTGTCTTTATAGGTGAGATGTGTCTCTTGTAAGCAACAGATTATTGCGTCTTGTTTCTTTATCCATTCAGCCACTCTTTGTCTTTTGACTGGAGAGTGTAGTCCATTTACATTCAATGTTATGGATGAGTAAGGATTTACACCTGCCATGTTGTTATTTGTTTTCTGGTTGTTTTGTGGTCTTCTCTTCCATAGTGTCTTCCTTTTAATGAAGGTGATTTTCTCTGGTGTTATGTTTTCTTTTCTTGCTTTTTATTTTTTGCTTATTTATTATATGTTTGTAGATTGGAGGTTACCATGAGGCTTGCAAATAGTATCTTACGGTAGCAAATCAACACTGATTGCATAAACAAGCCAACAAAAAGAAAACTAATAAAAACACAGTACTTTAGGCCAGGCGCGATGGCTCACGCCTGTAATCCCAGCACTTTGGGAGGCTGGGGCGGGCGGATCATGAGGGCAGGAGATCGAGACCATCCTGGCTAACACGGTGAAGCCCCGTCTCTACTAAAAATACAAAAAATTAGCCGGGCGTGGTGGCGGGCGCCTGTAGTCCCAGCTACTTGGGAGGCTGAGGCAGGAGAATGGCGTGAACCCCGGAGGCAGAGCTTGCAGTGAGCAGAGATCACGCCACTGCACTCCAGCCTGGGTGACAGAGCGAGACTCTGTCTCAAAACAAACAAACAAACAAAAACTCAATACTTTAACACTGTGTCCTCACTTTGTAACTTTTTACTGTTTCCCTGTGTATATTATTGTATTGTCTCTGTTGAAAAGGTATACTCATTATTTTTGGTTTATCTTTTCACCTTTCTATTAATACTTAAGATAGGAGTAGTTTACACAGCACAATTACAGTGTTATAGTATTCCGTGTTTGTCTTTGTACTACTTACTGTCACCAGTGAGCCTTGCACCTGCAGATGATTTCTTCTTGCTCATTAATCTCCTTTTCTTTCCGAGTGAAGAACCTCCCTGTAGCATTTCTTGTAGGACAGGTCTGGTGTTGATGAAATTCATCAACTTTTGTTTGTCTGGGAAAATCTTTAATTATCCTTCATGTTTGAAGGATATTTTTGCTTCATATGCTATTCTAGAGTAAAAAAGTTTTTTGCCAGCACTTTAAATATGTCATGCTACTCTCTCTCCTGGCCTGTAAGGTTTCCATTGAAAAGTTTACTGCTAGATGTTTTGGAGCTCCATTGTATTGTTTCTTTTCTTGTGCTGCTTTTAGAATCCTTTCTTTATCCTTGATCTTTGGGAATTTGATTATTAAACTAATAATGGGTTAAATCTACTTGGTATTCTATAACCTTCTTTTACTTGAAGTTTTGTATCTTTCTCTCAGTTTCAGAAATTTTCTGTTACTATCCTTTCGAATAAACTTTCTATTTCTCTCTTTCTACCTTACTCTTAGATTTGCTATTGAGGCCGTTTTCTAGATCTTACAGGGATGCTTCATTCTTTTTTATTCTTTTTTCTTCTCTGTTTTTAAACAGGGCTCATAAGTCTCAGGAATTCTTTCTTCTGCTTGATCAGTTCTGCTGTTAAGAGACTCTGATACGTTCTTTAAATATCAAGTGCATTTTTCAACTCTAGAATTTCTGCTTGGTTTTTAAAAATTATTTCTTTGTTAAATTCATCTGATAGGATTCTGAATTTCTTCTCTGTTATCTTGTATTTCTTTGAGTTTCCTCAGAGCAGCTATTTTGAATTCTGTGTCTGAAAGGTCACATATCTCCATTGCTCCGATTTGCCCCTGGTGCCTTATTTAGTTCTTTTGATGAGGTTATGTTTTCTTCAATGGTCTTGATGCTAGTGGATATTTGTGATTATCTAGGCATTGAAGAATTAGATATTTATTGTAGGCTTCACAGTCTGGGCTTGTTTGTACTCATCCTTCTTGAGAAGGCTATCCAAGTATTCAAACCTACTTAGTTGTTATTATCTAGGTTTTTGGTCCCTACAGCTGTATCTGCATTAGAGGGCACCCCAAGACTAGTAATGCTGTAGTTCTTGGACACTTATAGAGATACCAGCTTGGTGGTTGATATGGTTAGGCTTTGTGTCCCCACCCAAATCTCATCTTGAATTGTAATCCCCATAATCCCCACGTGTCAAGGGAGAGACCAGGTGGAGCTAAATGGATCATGGGAGTGGTTTCCCCCATGCTGTTCTGGTGATAGTGATTGCATTACATGAGATCTGATGGTTTTGTAAGTGTTTGGTAATTCCTCCTGCGTTCATTCTCCCCTCTGCTGCCTTGTGAAAAAGATGCCTTGCTTTCCCTTTGCCTTCTGCCATCATTGTAAGTTTCCTGAGGCCTCCCCAGCCATGCAGAACTGTGAGTCAATTAAACCTCTTTCCTTTCTAGATTACCCAGTCTCAGGCAGTTCTTTATAGCAGTGTGAGAATGGACTAATACTGTGGTCTTGGATAACATCTGGAAGAATTCTCTGGATTACCAGGTAGAGACTCTTGTTTTCTTCCCTTACTTTCTCCAAAATGAGTGCAGTCTCTCTCTCTCTCTGGCTAAGCTGCCTGCAGCTTGGAGAGGGGTGATACAAGCACTCCTGTCGCCGCCATCGTTGGGACTGTACTTCGTCAGATCTGAAGCCAGCAAAGCACCGTGTCTTGCCCATGTCCTGCTGTAACTATTACCTGGCTGCAAGCTGTGTTCTCTTAAGGCACTCAGGCTATAGTCATTATTTCAAGAGTGGCTGAAGCTAGTCATTCTTGTGTATTTCCCTTCGGGGTGGTGAATTCCTCTGGGCTCCAGGCTCCGGACAGGTTCAGAGTGCCTGGAAGTCAGGGCCTGCAATCGGAAACCTTAGAAATTTCCCTGGCACTGTATTCAACTATGTTTAAGCTGGTACTGAAATCAAAAGACACAGTCCTTCCCACCCATCCCTTTCCTCTCCCCAGGCAGTGGAGTCACCCCCTGTGTCCACCTCCACACAGGCCCACAGGGAGTACTGCCACAATGTTGTCACTGTTCACTTAAGGCCCAAGGGCTCAGCTTTTCATGAATGTCGCCATTCCTGGGACCCACCCTTCAGGGCAGTGAGTTCCCTTCTGGCTTAGGGTAGTTCCAGAGGTGCCGTCCAGTGTTCTCTGGAATCAGGGACCCTACGAACCCACTTGGTGCTCCTCCCAACTATGTTTGAGGTGGTACCTAATCTGCAAGACAAAATCCCCTTTATTTTTCCCTCCCCTTTTCTCAAGCAGAAGGAGTCTTTCCTCGTAGCCACCGCAGCTGTGAATATGCCGGGTCACACCTGAAGTCTGCATGTCTGAGTCTTAGCTGAGGCCCACAGTGTGTGTTACTTGGTTGCTGCTGGTGATTATTCAGGGTCTAAGGGCTCTTTAGTCAGCAAGTGGTGAATTCTTCCTGGACTTGATCCTTCCCTTCAGGTTCCTTCTGGCCCAGGGTGTGTCTAAAAATATCACCCGGGAGTTAGAGCCTAGAATGGGGACCTCACGACTCTGCCTGATGCCTTATTCAACTGTGGCTGAGATGGTATTTATGTTGCAAAACAAAGTCCTGTTTATCCTTTCCTCTCCTCTTCTCAAGGAGAAGGACGGAATCTCTTTTGGAGCTGGGAGCCTTCCTGCCTTTGATTGGGAGATGTGTGACACAAGCGCTCCCTTAGCCGCATTGGCTGGTGTCTCACTAGGTCATGTACCTCCAAGTCCACTGGCTCTGAGCCCAGCCCAGCACTACAACTTGCCTAGGAGTTACAGTCCTTGTGACCTAGCCTGCCTTTTACTGTTATTTAGGACCCCAGAGCACTTTAGCCTGTGGTGGCGAGGCTTGCAGAAACTCCAGTTCCAACCTCCAGGCTGTGTGATTGTCCTGTCCCTGGGGCTGGTCTAAATGCTCCATTCATTGGCATTGGCTGAGTTCTGCCGGGATTGGCAGCACTGCGTTCCGGCTTGTAGTCCCACAGTTGCTGTGCTCTTTCCCCGTGTGCAGCGCAGATTCTTCCTCTGTGCCCTGTGGTTGCTACGAGCGCATGGGGGAGGGCTGGGGTCAGCAATTCAAGACTGTCTTTTCTATCCTCTTCACTGCCTCTTTCAGCAATATGAAGGTACTGTGATTGCTCACATGATTTTTGGTTCTTATGAAGGTGCTTTTTGTGTAGGTGGTTGTCAGATTTGGTGTTCCTGCAGGGAGGACAATCGGTGGAGGCTTCTATTTGGCCATATTGCTCTGCCTCCCATTCCAGCTTGTTTCTATTTTTAATTTTTGTTGCAATGGAGTCTTTTGCCTGGCCCTGAATAATATTTAAATAAATCACAAGGACTTGAAACTACAAAATGTATACTTAGAGCCAAAGTCACCTTACTTGTAAGAACTGGAAATGGGGATAATGCTCTCTATGGTTATGCAGCCTACTCTTTTACTAACCTTTCTGGACTAGATCTTTGAAGTGCGTCTTAGCTTTCCTCCTTTCCTGAAGAGAGCAGAGATAGTGCTGCTTTAACTGTGGTCATACATGTATGAGGAATAACTTTAGTGTGAGCTGTTGGTTTTAAAGAGTCATATATTATTCTATGCACTTTTGTAAGTTCATTTTATAATGAGCAGATTGGTCAACTGACATTTTTGATTATTTGTAATACATGTGTTGCTTGGAATAATACTGTTAATTTCCAGAAATATAAGTGAACCTTAGCTTTTCTGTTGGTGGCTTTTAAACTTTTTATGATGGGAAAATGTGTGAATTTTCTCCTGGGAAAGTATAGACTGGAGACTTAGATACCAGTAGATGAATTGAGGAATTTCTGTGTAGCAGTTTAATATAGAAAAGAGTTAGCTGTCCATGAGGAAGGGCTTTAAGAACAACAATAACTACCAAAAAAAAAAAAAAAAAGAAGAAAAAGAAAAGAATTAGCTGTTAGATAGCTGTGGCTTGAGAATTGGCAAGTCAGAGACAGAACTGTTGCTTTATTGACAACATACTTTTCACACTAATGGAAGTATTAAAAGTATATAGCCTACATTATTGTGGCTGGGCACAGTGGCTCACACCTGTAATCCCAGCACTTTGGGAGGCTGAGGTCAGGAGTTCGAGATCAGGCTGTCCAACATGGCGAAACCCCGTCTCTGGTAAAAATACAAAAATCAACTGAGCATGGTGGCACATGCCTGTAGTCCCAGCTACTCAGAGGGCTAAGGCGCAAGAATTGCTCGAACCTGGGAAGTACAGGTAACAGTGAGCTGAGATCATGCCATTGCACTCCAGCCTGCGTGATGGAGTGAGACTCTTGTCTCCAAAACAAAGCCAGTAAATAGTCTAGATTACTGACATCTAATTTCATGAAATACTTGACATTCTATTCAAGTGTATAGAAAATTTAATTTTGGTAATGTTACATTTTAAAGGCAGTAGTATCCAGGATATATGTATGGGCCAAGAGTTCACGATGAAGTTGCTAAGAGCAACTGCAACAAAAGCAAAAATTGACAAATGGGATCTAATTAAAGAGTTTCTGCACAATCAAAGAAACTGTCAGCAGAGTAAACAGACAACCTATAGAACGGGAGAAAATATTTGCAAACTATTCATCTGATAATGCTCTTATATCCAGAATTTATAAGGAACTTAAATTATAAAGAAAAACACAACCCCATTAAAAAGCAGGCAAAGGACATGAACAGACATTTCTCAAAAGAAGACATACATGTGGCTAACACTCATATAAAAAAAGCTCAACATCACTGATCATTGGAGAAGTGCAAATCAAAACCACAATGAGATATACCATCTCACATCAGCTGGGTGAGATACCATTGCTGGGTATATAACCATAGGAATATAGTTCTATTATAAAGACATATGTATGTGTATGTTCATTGCAGCACTATTCACAACAGCAAAGACGTGGAATCAACCTAAATGCCCATCAGTGGTAGACTGGATAAAGAAAATGCATACGTACATATACACTATGGAATACTATGCAGCCATAAAAAAGAATGAGATCATGTCCTTTGCAGGAACATGGATGGAGCTGGAGGCCATTATCCTTAGCAGACTAACACAGGAACAGAAAACCAAATACCACATGTTCTCATTTATAAGTGGGGGAGCTAAATGATGAGAACACATGGACACATACAGGGGAACCACACATACTGTGGCTTATTGGAGTGGGAGGGTAGGAGGAGGGAGAGGATCAGAAAAAATAACTAATGGATAGTAGGTGTAATACCTGGGTGATGAAATAATCTGTATAACAAATCCCTGTGACACCCGTTTACCTATGTAACAAACCTCCACATCCTGCACATGCACCCCTGAACCTAAAAGTTAAAAAAAAGTTGAAAAGCAGAAAAGAGAAAAATGTTCTGCTTTTCTCTTTGGAATATAATGATGTTTTTTTAACAACTTTATTAAGGAATAATTGACATAAACTGCATAGTTACAGCATACAATTTGATAACTTTTGAGATCCACACATCTCCATGAAATCGCTACAAATAATTTAGTGAATATAACAATCATGCTTTAAAAGTTTTTCTTTGCCACTTTGTAATTTCTGTTTCTCTCCCTTCTTCCCTCATTCCTAGTCTGTCGTGAATCTGCTATCATTATTGGTTTGTTTGCATTTTCTAGAATTGTATGTAAATGGACTTTTGTAGTCTAGTTTCTTCAGTGTTATTTTGAGGTCCAATTATATTGCATGTTTCAGTCCTTCATTCCCTTTTTATTGCTCAATACGATTGCATTGTATGGATTTATCACAAGTTTTAAAATCCATCTACCTGTGGATGGTTATATTAGCTATCTACTGCTGTATAACAGATTATTTGAAAACTTAGTGGCATGAAACAACATGCATGTATTATCTTACAGTTTCTGGGCCAGGAATTTGGGAGTGGCTTAGTTGGGTGACTCTGACTCAGGAATTTCATGAGATTGCCTCAGTCTCTGGTCCTCTGACCAAGGATCCTCTTTGCAGGGATGCTTGAGTGTCCTTATGACATGAAATCTGGTTACTGCTAAAACAAGTGATCCAAGAGCAGCATGGGCAAACAGGAAGCTCCAATGCCTTTTTTTTTTTTTTTTTTAAAGACAGAGTCTCACTCTGTCATCCAGGCTGGAGTGAATGGCATGACCTTGGCTCATTGCAACTTCCGCCTCCCAGGTTGAAGCGATTCTTGTGCCTCAGCCTCCTGAGTAGCTAGGATTACAGATGTGCGCCACCACACCCAGCTAATTTTGGTATTTTTAGTAGAGTTGGGGTTTCACCATGTTGGCCAGGCTGGTCTGGAACTCCTGACCTCAAGTGATCTGCCCGCCTCAGCCTCCCAAAGTGCTGAGACACTGCATCTGGCTGGAAGCTTCAATGCCTTTTATAACCTGGTCTCAGCAGTCACACATTGTTACTTTCTTCATGATACTGTTTGCTAGAAGTAAGTCACTCCATCTAGCCCACACTCAAAGAGCAAAGAATTGGGGCTGCTTTTGAAGAAAGCAGTGTTAAAGAATTTGTTGTCATATTTTAAAGCTACCGCAATGGACTTTGGGGTTGTTTTTAGGTTTTGGCTATTACAAATAAAAATGCTTATTAAAATACATGTAAAAATCTGTGTAGGCATATAGTTTTATTTCTTTATGTGAATAGCCAGGTGTAAAACGGCTAGTTTGTAAGATAGTGTTATGCTTAAATGTTTACTATTTTTAAAGTGAAGACTGTAAGCCATTGCTAAGAGAAAATAAGGAAATATTTAATTTCTTTTATTTATTGTTTATATTAATTTTTAATACAGTCACGCATCATTTAACAACAGTGAAACATTCTGAGAAATGTGTTGTTAGGTGATTTCTTCATTGTGTGAGTATCATAGAATGTACTTATCACAAACCTAGGCAGTGTAGCCTCCTACACACCTAGGCTACGTGGTGTAGTCTATTGCTTTTACGCTGCAAACCTATACAGCATGTTTCTGTAATGAATACGTTAGGCATTTGTAACATAATGGTAGATATTTGTGTATTTAAACATAGAAAAAGTACAGTACAGATACAGTACTATAATTTTATGGGACCACCGTTATATGTGCGGCCTGTCTTTGACCAAAATGTCATTATGCGGCACATGACTGTTTTACATTTCTTTAAAGTGTTAATATCTGTAAAGAAATTAAAACCTACACAAATGTTGTTTTGCAAAGTGGATTGTGCTATTTTACATCAGCAGTGTACAAGAGTGCAGGGGTTCCACATGCTCAGCAACACTTGGCATAGTCACTTTCTAAAATTGTTTATGGTTTTAATTTGCATTTCCTTATTAATAAGTAATGATGTTGAGCATTTTGTTTCTTTGCCATCTATGGATCTTCTTTGGTGAAGTGTCATCTTTTGTTCATTAAAAAAATGGATTTAGGCCGGGCATGGTGGCTCACGCCTGTAATCCCAGCACTTTGGGAGGCCGATGCGGGCGGATCACGGATCAGGAGATCCAGACCATCCTGCCTAACACAGTGAAACCCTTTGTCTACTAAAAATACAAAAAATTAGCTGGGCGTGGTGGTGGGGGGCGCCTGTGGTCCCAACTGCTGGGGAGGCTGAAGCAGGAGAATGGCGTGATCCCGGGAGGTGGAGCTTGCAGTGAGCTGACATCACGCCACTGCACTCCAGGGTGACAGAGCAAGACTCCGTCACACACACACACACACACACACACACACACACACACACACACACGAAAAAGAAAAAATATGGATTTATTGGCCTGGCGTGGTGACTCACGCCTGTAATCCCAGCCCTTTGGAAGGCTGAGGCGGGCGGATCACTTGAGGTCAGGAGTTCATGACCATCCTGGGCAACATGGCGAAACTCTGTCTCTACTAAAAGTACAAAAATTAACTGGCGTGGTGGCATGCCCCTGTAATCCCAGCTGCTTGGGAGGCTGAGGCAGGAGAATCACTTGAACCTGGGAGGCGGAGGTTGCAGTGAGCCGAGATCACACCACTGCACTCCAGCCTGGGCGACAGAGCAAGACCCTGTCCCCCGCCCAAAAAAAAAAAAGGATTTATCTTCATATTTACTGAGTTGTTATATGTTTTGCAGATATTTTCTTCCATGCTTTGGCTTGCCTTTTTCATTTTTGTAGCAGTGTTTTTTAAAGATCAAACTTTTTTTTTATGAAGTCAGTTTATTGATTTTGTTCTTTTGTAGTTTTCTTTTGTGTTCTGTTAGGAAATGTTTGCTTAACCCTATTCAGTAAGATTTTTTTCAATGTTTTCTTGTGGAAGTTTAGGTCTATGATCTATTTCAAGTTAAATTTTATAAATGTTCTGTGGTAACGGTTGAAGTTCTTTTTCCTCTCTATTATTATTAAATTCTTTGCATGTGGCTCTCCAGCTTGCTCTGTACATTTTCCCATCTTTATTGGCACCTTTTGTAAAAAAAATAAATGAATAAAAGCTGACCATATGCGTGGGTAATTTCTGCTTTATTGATCTTTTTGCTTGTCTTTTTTCTTTTTTTTTTTTTCCTGAGACAGTCTTGCTTTGTTTTCTGGGCTAGAGTGCAGTGAAATGAAAATGACTCACTGCAGCCTCCACCTCCTGGGCTCAAGTAATCCTCCTGCCTTAGCCTCCTGAGTAGCTGGGACCACAGGCACATGCTACACCCCTGGCTAATTTTTTGAATTTTTGTCGAGATTGGGGGGTCTCACTTTGTTGCCAAGGCTGGTCTCCAACTCCTGGGCTCAAGTGATCCTCTCAAACTGTTGGGATTACAGACGTGAGCCACTGTACCCAGACTTTACCTGTCTTTATACAGTACCATACTTCATTGATTACTGTAGCTTTCATAGTAAGTCTTGAAATCAGGTAGTATGAGTATTCTAACTCTTTTCCTCTTTTTCAAAGTTATTTTGGCTATTCTAGGTCCTTTATGTTTTCATATAACTTTTAGAATCAACTTTTCAGTTTCTACTGAGATTTGGAGTGGAATTGCGTTGAATGTATAGATCAATTTGAGGTGAATCAACATTTTGCTAATAATAAGTCTTCTAATCTGAATAGTATATGTGTTACTCAAAGTAGAGGGCCATGATTCTGTCTATTTGTGTGTGTATGATTTGCTCACTTTATTTGACAATCAGTGGTTAGTTCTTGTCCACACTGACTTTCGACAGATTTTTGAAAGTGGTGACAGACACATAGGTAATCAATGTATAGAGCTTGTTTGGTGAATGTTCAGCCTCATCATGTTTTCTGGAAAACCACATATGGGATCCTATGAGATATTGCTTGTTCCTTTGTTCCAGACAGCTTTGTTTTGCCTGGTGTCAATGCGCACATCTAGAATTCCCATCTCCTTCATGGCAAATTTCTGGATCTCTTTGAGTGCCTGAGGGCCATGCTTCTTGAAGCCCACTCCATGGATGTGCTTCTGAATGTTGCTGGTGTACCCTCGGGTCACCTTATCGATGGCAGGATGTTTCTTCTTGCCGCCCATCTTTGTGGAGCCGTTCTGCTGGACCCAAATTAGAAAAGAAGAGCATGAAAGATTGTCTCCATTTGTTTTTTTTTTTAATTTCTCTGAGCATGTTTTGTAGTCATCACTGTGCAAGTCTTGCATATTTTTTGTCAAATTCATCCTTAAGCATTTCCTATTTGTTATTATAAATGGCTTTTTTTGTTTGTTTGTTTTCAGATGGAGTTTCGCTCCTGTTGCTCAGGCTGGAGGGGCAATGGCGTGATCTCGGTTCACTGCAAGCTCTGCCTCCCGGGTTCAAGCGATTCTCCTGCCTCAGCCTCCCAAGTAGCTGGGATTACAGGGATGTGCCACCACGCCCGGCTGATTTTGTATTTTTAGTAGAGACGGGGTTTCTCCCTGTTGGTCAGGCTGGTCTCAAACTCCCGACCTCAGGTGATCTGCCCGCTTTGGCCTCCCAAAGTGCTGGGATTACAGGCGTGAGCCACAGCGCCTGGCCAGTATTTTTTTTTTAATGTTCAGTTTCTATTTGTTCATTGCTGGTCTTAGAAATACAACTGATTTTTGTATTTTGACTTTGTTTCTACAGCCTTCTTAAACTCACTTATTAATTTTAGCAGTTTTTTTTTTGCAGGTTCCATAGTGTTATCTATAGAGCTGATCACATCATCTGTGGATAAAGACAATTTTATATTCTTCCTTTCTAATCTGTATGCTTTTTATTTCTTGTATGATTGCATTGCTAGAATTTCTAGTGTAATGTTGAATAGAAGTGATGAGTAGGCATTCCTGGCCTTGGTCCTGATCTGAGGGTGAAAGTAGCCTTTTGCCACTAGCCAGGATGTTAGATACAGATTTTTCATATGTCCCCTTTATTACGCCAAGGAAGGTACCTTATATGTCTATATTCCTGAGAGTTTTTAAAAATCAGGAAGGGAAGATTTTTGTTGCAGTGCTTTTTTGTGTCTGTCATACAGTTTGTTTTTTAAGTCTGTTAACATGGTGAATTATGTTGATTTTTTTGAATGTTAAATCCATCTTTCATTCCTGGAATATATCCCAGTCGGTCATGATGTATTTTCCTTCCTATGTATTCTTATGTCATTACTATATATTGCTAAGAATTTTGGCATCTGTATTCATGAGGGATACTGCTTCGTAGCTTTCTTTTCTTACAGTGTCTTTGGTTTTGTTCTTCCGTTTTCTCAGAGAATAGATTTTCCGATAGATTTTTTTTTTGAAGAGTTTGTGTAGAAGTACTGTTCTTTCTACCTTTCAATGTTTGGTAGAATTCAGCAATGAAGATGTGAAGACATCTTTGTGGAGTTTTTCACATTTTTTCTTTTTATTTATTTTTAATTTTTAATGTATTTTCTTTGTAGGATGTGTTTTCCTTTTTATTTTTTAAGGTATGTGTGCCATTTCTTTCTGATATTTTATAATTAGAAGTTGAAACAGCTTTACAGTTGACATCCATATACTCACCCCAAAGGTATATTATGCTGCATTTGCTTTATCACATATCTATTCATTTATCCTTCCCTCTATCCATGCCTCAATATTATTAATGCATTTAAAAATAATTTATAGACAAAAGAACATTTCTTTCTCAAATACATTCCCAGGTTTAGGTTTTTTTTTTTACAAGTTTTCTTTTTTCTTTTCTTTTCTTCTTTTCTTTCGAGATAGGATCTTACTCTGTTGCTCGGGCTAGAGTGCAGTGCAGTGGCGTGATCACAGCTCACTGCAACCTTGAACTCCTGGGCTCAAGTGATTCTCTTGCCTTAGTCTCTTGAATAGTTAGGACTACAAGTGTGTGCCACCATGCTTGGCTCATTTGAAAATGTATATATATAGAGAGATGGGTCTTGCCATGTTGCCCAGGCTAATCTTGAACTCCTGGCCTCATGGGATCCTCCAACCTTGGGCTCCCAAAGTAATGGGATTATAGGGATAAGCCACCATGCCTGGCCCTGATTTTATTTCTTGAGGTCAAGTTTAAATACAGTTAAATGCAAAAACCCTATTTGTATGTTTAAGTTAATTTTGGCAAGCCCATCCACTTATGTAAGTCAAATCCTTTTTAAGATATGGATCATTACCGTTATCCAGAAAGTTCTCCCATACCACTTCTCAGACAGTCCCAACCCACACCTCCAAAGGCAAGTCCTGTTCTGATTTTCTTCCATAAAGTAGTTATGCTTTTTCTATAACTTCATATAAATGGAATCATATTGCATGTATGTGTGTCTGTGTGTGTATGTGTGACTTCTTTTGCTTGGAATAACATTTTTGAGATCGGTATTGTTCCCTGTTTCAGTAGTTCTCTCTTTTTAATACTTTGTAGTGTAACTTAATATAATGTCATATTGTTGCTTGATGCCCTACTATATGGTCAATTTTCTTAAATGTTGTTAGTGTTCCTGAGAAGATTGGATGTTCTCTTTTCGTTGGTTTTATGTTTCTCTGTCCTTTCAATCAACCTGTTAATATGCTATTTGTTTCTTCTTAATTCATTTAAAAATCTATTGTTTAATATTTACACTGTCATTCTTCATATTTTAAAGTTATTTTTAAATTTAAATATAACAAAATTGATTTTTTTTTGTGGCATATAACTTCATGGGTTTTGACAGATGCATACAGTTGGGTCTCCACACCAAAATCAAGATGCACAACAGTTCCATCAACTCCCCAGAAGCCCTCATGTTGCCCCATTATTAACCCTTCCATCCTCCTCCTATCAGTGGAAATCGCTGATTTTTCATCCCCTCAGTCTTGCACTTTCCTGAATGCCCTACAAATTTTGTTTCACTTAGCAAAATGCATTGAGATTCACCTGTGTTGTTGCATGTATTAATAATCATTCTTTTTTATTGCTGTTTGAATGTATCATAGTTTGTTTCTATATTCACTGGTTGAAAGACATTTGGGTATTTTCTATATTTTGGCAATTAGGAATGAAACTGCTATAAACATTTGAGTACAGGTTTTTGTGTGAACATAAGTTTTAATTTCATTTGGCCACATACCTAGGATTGGGATTGTTATATTTCATGTTCATGTAATTTTAACTTTATATGATATGGAAGGTTTTAAACTATAGACTCTGTCTTTTAAGCTGTGTTCAGGGTATCAGTTTCTTCTTGACTGAGCCTTGATTGAGTTTTTGTCTTTCACAAAATTTGTCCATTTCGTCTGTTGAATTTGCAGGCCTACAGTTGTTTCTTAGCTTCACAGATTACCTTTTTAATATATATACAATCAATGATAAAGATGCGTCTCTCCTTCTTAATGTTTGAAATTTGCGTCTTCTTTCTGATCACTGTGGTTAGAGGTTTATCAATTTTATAATATTCGCTAAGAACCAAATTTTTTGATTCTTTGATTTTTCTCTATTAACTTTCTATTTTCTGTTTAGTTGACTTCTACTCTAATCTTTATTATTTTCTTTCTTCTGCTTACTTTGGGTTTAGTACTTTGAGTTTAACATAATACAGACAAAATTAAATTTCTCTCTGGAAGTAAATTGACAGATTTTGAAAAGTCCAGATTCCTGGGGAATGTGTGTATGTAGTATTCAGGAGAAAACAGAAGACAGAGCTTCAGAGATAATGAAATTGTGGTATTGTTTTCAATTAGTAAAAGAATGGAGGATTTTCTTTTGGATATTGATATTTCTGCCTGTTCATCTAACTTTATTTCAAACTCTGAATGAAGTATATCTGTAAATTATTAAAGGTGGAATCCCCACGATAAGCATTTTGATGTTTATCATACACAGAGCCATCTGTGTTAAATATATGGCATCATTTAAGTTGGGCAAAATACTATCTGGAGGAATAAAATTTTACTCTTGTCTCTACTGTTAGCAGTTATTTAACCTAAAGGATGATATAATGTTTATTTGAATTTAAAATATTCATTTAAGTCCCCACGTCTTCCCCAATGAGTAACCTCTACCTCAACTAAGGTATATGGCGTTTCTGGAGCTGTTTTCATTTGGTATGCTGTGATATATTGGAGTAAATAATTTCTGTAATGTATGGAGTGGAATTTGTATTACTGTTTTAGGTTGTCTTCCAAAGCCTGAATTTGAATTAAGGAACTATGTTGCTCCATTGTTTGAGCATTCTATTTAAATATTAAAGCAGATTTGTTTTCTTCTGTAAATAGAAGTAATTTTATTTCTGAGAGATGAAATTGGCTTAATCTGTTTTGGGTTCTATTTTTAAATGGTTATTTCTTTTGTAGTCTTCAAGAAGAGATATAGACGGTATTAGAATTGAAGAATTGATGGAGGGATGTGGTATTTATAGCACGATAAGAAAATTATTTTGTTTACTTTTCTAATCACTTAATATTACATTTTATTTTTTAGATCCTGTTTGACCAAACTCAGAGATCAATTAAGGCACAGCTTCAGAACTTTGTTAAAGAGTAAGTCAATTGCGGTGAAGAGGAAAGAAAATTAACTAGTTAATGATCAATCTGAGAATTCGTATCTTTTGGAAGAAGTTATATACCATGAATTATTGAAAATATTGACATTTTGTTTGCTTTGTGAAATGCATGCTGCATTTCTTCCTAAATTACTCTATAAGTAAATTAGACTTGATGTCTTTCAGTGAATCACTTATTCCACAAATACGTGTTCTGGAAGATACTTGGCTAGGATATGTAGCTATAGGTTTAAAAAATATTTTTAATGTAAATAATCTAATTGTTCTTTCACCATCAAAGCAAACCCCAAAAGTGGTTGAAATACTATTAGTTATTGTAGTTGAAACTGTGTTTTCCATTGTTTCAATGTGGTATTTTCTTTGAAGAGAAGATAATGGAATATACGAGAATGAGCCATGAAAGTACATGATTTTTGGGCCGGGGCGCAGTGGCTCACGCCTGTAATCCCAGCACTTTGGGAGACTGAGGCGGGTGGATCACCTGAGGTCAGGCGGCGAGACCAGCCTGGCCAAGATGGAGAAACCCCGTCTCTACTAAAAATACAAAATTAGCGGGGCGGGGTGGTGCATGCCTGTAATCCCAGCTACTCGGGAGACTGAGGCAGGAGAATCGCTTGAACCTGGGAGGTGGAGGTTGCAGTGAGCTGAGATCGCGCCATCGCACTCCAGCCTGGGCAACAAGAGTGAAACTCAAAAAAAAAAAAAGTACATGATTTTTGTGACTTACGAGTATTTTGTGTCACCTCACATTTTCTTTGTGAAATAAAATAGAACTAGAAATTTTAAAAATCAGAGATTTCCATATTAGGAAAGTTTTTCTTTTTCACATTAATAATACAGGTTTTTCTCTTTTGATTCCTGGCTGGGAATATATAAAATTAAAGTTTATTATAATAGAGCTGTACAGTGGTGTTAGATCTCATTAAGATAGTACACTGTTTTAATAGGTTAGAATTTGTTGTTCTGGAGGTTATGTATTACAGTTTCTTTTCTTTTGTTTTTTTCTTTTTTAAATATAGAGACAGGGTCTGACTCTGTTACCCAGGCTGGAGTACAGTGGCTTGATAATAACTCACTGTAACCTCGAATTCCTGGGCTGAAGTGATCCTCCCACCTCAGCCTCCTGAGTAGTTAGGACTACAGGCGTGGACCACCACTTCTGGCTAATTTATCTTTTATTTTTTATTATTTGTAGAGGCAAGTCTCACTATGTTGCTGAGGCTAGTCTCAAACTCCTGGCCTCAAAGCAGTTTTCTTACCTTAACCTCCCAAAGCACTGGGATTACAGGCACCCAACCAAATTCTTTATAAATTACTTTGTGATGAACACTCAGAATGTCTTCATAGAATGCACACATAACAGTTTATGGCATCTTTCAAGGAGTTGAATGTCTTTCTTACATATACTTTATTATGGTTTTTATAAAATCATTTGTCTTCAAGTTATTTTACCTAGCTCCCTAGTAGAAAAATAAAAGCAAAGGGATGTTATGTGACTAAGATCATTAATGAACCAAGTGTTTCAGATTTTCAGACTATTAAAAGGGATACTGTTATTCATTGCTGATGTAACGATTCTTTCAGAAATTGATGTGTTCCAGCCTGGGCAATAATGTGAGACCACAGAAATAAAAAATAAAAATTAGCCTTGTGTGGTGGCATGTGCCTGTCGTCCCAGCTGCTTGAAAGGCATGAGGTGTGAGGATCGCTTGAGCCCAGGACTTTAAGGCTGCAGTGAGCTATGATCATGCCACAGCATGAGAAATCAATGTTGTTTCTTAGAGTGTGATCTGTAGACCACCCATGGTAGTAAAATCAAGGACGTGTCTTAAAAAATACTCCTCAGATTTCTAGGATTTTTCTCGAGGGCTAAAGAATCATAATCTCTCGGAAAGGGCTCTGGAATTTGCATTTTTAACCAGTGCCCTGTAGAGATTCTTATGTATACTACCGTTTAAAAATCGTTTGGTTAAATAATGGTACATGTCCCTGAATTTGTCTTTAGAAAAACAATTAACTTTATGTTTCTGTAATGTTAATTAGATAATTTATTGTCATCTCAAGTTATGTAGATTTAAATAATGAAATTTTAGCTGACTTTATCAGGATTTATACAAAATTGAGAAACAATACATATTTTAGTTTGAAGAGTGAATGTGTTTCAATGTGAGGTGAAACAAAAAATGGAGGAACATAGGAATTCAATTCTAAATGTTATTTTGCTAATTTTTTTTTTTTTTTGAGTCGGAGTCTTGCTCTGTCACCAGGCTGGAGTATAGTGGTGTGATCTCAACTCACTGCAACCTCCGCCTCCCATATTCAAGTGATTGTCCTGCCTCAGCCTCCTGAGTAACTGGGACTACAGGCACATGCCACCATGACCAGCTAATTTTTTTGTATTTTTAGTAGAGATGGGGTTTCACCATGTTGGCCAGGATGGTCTCGATCTCTTGACCTCATGATCCACCCACCTCGGCCTCCCAAAGTGCTGGGATTACAGGTGTGAGCCACCGCGCCCAGCCTGCTAAAGTTTTTTAATGAAGCAAGTTATAAAAGTTTCACTAAGTTTTTCTTTTCTTAGAGATCTTAGAAAATTCAAAGATGCCAAGAAGCAATTCGAAAAAGTCAGTGAAGAAAAAGAAAATGCGTTAGTAAAAAATGCCCAAGTACAAAGAAACAAACAACATGAAGTTGAAGAAGCCACCAACATTCTGACAGCAACAAGAAAATGTTTCCGACACATAGCCCTCGATTATGTGCTTCAGGTATATAGTTTCTTACTGTGTATGTTTTCAGACAGTGCTTACTTAAACAGGTTGTTACTTTTGAGTGATCGCCCTAAGAAGAATAAATACTTTTACTCTGAACTTAAAGTTAAAACATAATCTTAGGTGGAAAATTTCCATCTGTGTAGCTATTAGTGTACCTGTGTGTGTATGGATATATATTCCTTTGGTTCTGAGTTCTGCCTCTTTTCTCTTAACATTATATTTCCCATTTTAAAATGTTAAAAAGCATTTTTAGTTGCTATATGTTATTCTCTGGAGTTGTTATGTCAATTTAACTATCTTTTATTATACCATTTTATTATTTCAATAAGTTTAGGGGTACAAGTGGGTTTTTGGTCACATGGTGAATTGCATAGTGGTGAAGTGTGGGCTTTTATTGTATCTGTCACTCCAGTAGTATACATTGTACCCAACAGGAAATTTTTCATCCATCACCTCCCTCCCACCTTCCCCCCTTTCTGAGTCTCCAGTGCACATTACACCACTCTGTATGCCCCTGAGAACCTATAACTTAGCTCCTACTTATAGGTGACAACACACGGCATTTGGTTTTCTGTTCCTGTGTTACTTCCTTTAGGATAAGGGCCCCTAGTTCCTTCTAAGTTGCTGTAACAGACATTTGTGGTGTTCAAGTTTTTACTGACAATAGGGAAAATATAATTTTCAATAATTGTGAGTGATAATAACATCTTTACACTTCTTATTTCTTTAGATTAGATTCTTAGAGGTACTAAGGTTCACCATATTGCCAAATGAAAAATCTTTCTAGAAGTAGTGTTATCATATTTTTGCTTTAGGTGCTGTTTTTAAAAACTAGAAATCTGGGCCAGGCGCAGTGGCTCACGCCTGTCATCCCAGCACTTTGGGAGGCCAAGACGGGTGGATCACAAGTCAGGAGATTGAGACCATCCTGGCTAACACGGCGAAACCCCGTCTCTACTAAAAATACAAAAAATTAGCTGGGCGTGGTGGCGGGCGCCTGCAGTCCCAGCTACTCGGGAGGCTGAGGCAGGAGAATGGCGTGAACCCAGGAGGCGGAGCTTGCAGTGAGCTGAGATCGCACCACTGCACTCCAGCCTGGGTGACAGAGCGAGACTCCGTCTCAAAAAAAAAAAAAAAAAAAAACCCACACAATAAAACAAACAAACGAAAAAACCCAAAAACTAGAAATCTGTATTTGGTAAGTTGCTTGGTGTTGGTGATCTTCCAGTCTAATTTATAGCTGAAAGTGATAGGTCTCCAAAGGTATTTGAGACATGAGAAATGAAGGCATATTATATTGCGTGTTTCTATATATCATGGAATTTAAAGCCTAAAAAAACTTTAATGCTTAGGGAATTACCTTATATAAATCTCCTTTTACAAAACAATAGTGGTTGTCCTCAGAGATTGTTTACTTCACAATGATCACAGAATATTTCTTAAGAAAAAATACAAGTAACCAAATAGAAATTAGTGATTAAAAATTACTTAGGTAACTTGGCAAAACAATAGAAAATTAACTTTAAGTTTTTTTTCTATTAAGTTCCTGTTCAGTAAGTGGGAAGTTAAATTTTTAAGATGAATAGACTGTACTTTTGGAGGAAAGGATACTGGACTGGAGTAGTGTATTTCCTGGGTCCTGTTACCTACCTCACATTATACCATTTTCTGCTGTAGTGTACCCACACTACAGGGTACTCACCCTGCCTAACCCACTGAAATGGCTCATGCAGAGGTTTTATTCACTAGACGTATTTCAGTTTTTAACCAACTTGACTATTCTGTTTTACTGCAGTGGTGGACCACACTCTCCTTCTTGAAACATTCTTTTATCTTGATTTATCTGAAACTGCTTTTAGGTCTTCCTCCCAACTTCTATTTCTTTTCCATTTCTGTCTTGGGCTTCACTCCTTTGTCTGCCTTTTCACTCTCCTTTTTAGGGTTTCATCTTTGGTTTTATTCTTTTCTTTTCTTACTTTATTGTTTTCTGTCAGTCTCATCATGCCCCTTGCTTGAATCACCACCTGTTATTATAGGTAGATGACCAAATGTTTTTTCCCCAGAGGTACTTTGTTCTCATTGTATTCAAAACTGAAATCTCTTATCTTCCAAAATGGCTTCTCTTTCCCTTTTGCCCTTATCTAATTGAATGGTGTCACTTTTTTACTCTCATAGAAGTTCGAAATGAGAGAATTATATCAGATATTCTCCTCATTGTAAGCCAGTATATCTAGTTGCCAAAATGTCTTGAAAATTCCTCCTGTGTACCTCTTAAATTGGTTCTTTCTTCACCTTTGCTGCAGCCCTAAGTCTTACTGTTTCTTGTCTGGAGTATTAAAGTCTTCTCATGAAATTGGTCTGCCTTGCATTGCTTTTACCTGCCCTGTCACTAATTCACTCTCTGTTTTGTGATCCGGGTTACTCAGACTTCTCCAGGCCAGAAGGAATAATTTTTGCCTCTGCCTTCTCTGTGTTGCCGTATTTTTGTACACATTGCAGTTAGACTACTTACGCATTTATTGTAAATATTTATTTATATATTTTTTCTATTTCTAGATTGTATCCCTAGCCTCTAGTCCAGTGGTTAGAAAATAGATATGTAGTAAATGTTTTTTGAGAGAGTGAACGGCTTAATGTTACAAATTTTATACTGGGAGGATTAGCTAAAATTTTCATTATTTTTAAACTTACACATTATTTTCTTGGATGTCCATATGTAAGTTAGGAATCCTCACACTGCCTCCTCATGCCCACCACCCCCAACAAATAACTATTAGTTTGTTTGATTTTTCTGATGGGAATTATTGTATCATTTTATGGCCTTTATTTCATTTATGTCTACTTTAGAGAGTAGTAAGTAATAGATATCCAAATGTATAAAGTTTGTCTTGCTTTTAACTACTCTAAATATTTGAGTTTACTTTTTTCCTCCAATAATTTAAATGCTATATAATTTAAATATTATATAATATAAAAATCCTATTTTATATAGCATTTTATTTTTATATATAACATTTAAATTTAAAAATTTTATATAGCACTTAATTTTTTCAAATAGAAAAAAAGACATATCAAACAGGCATTTTAACATTATTCAGTGTTTGAGTAGTAGGCTATTTGCAGCTTCTTCTTTACTTAGAGCATTTGAAAGTGAATATTGTAGTTCTCTAAACTGAATAGGCTTTGAAATACATGCAGAAGAAACTAGTCTTTTGTTTCTGTTTTTGTTTTTTTGAGAAGGAGTCTTGCTGTGTCGCCCAGGCTGGAGTGCAGTGGTGCGATCCCAGCTCACTGCAACCTCCGCCTCCAGGGTTTAAGTGATTCTCCTGCCTCAGCCTGCCGAGTAGCTGGGATTACAGGCGCCCACCACCATGCCTGGCTAATTTTTGTATTTTTAGTAGAGATGGGGTTTCACCATGTTGGCCAGGCTGATCTCAAACTCCTAATCTCAAGCGATCTGCCCACCTCAGCCTCCCAAAGTGCAAGGATTACAGGCGTGAGCCACCTCACCCAGCCAGAAACTAGTCTTATGGTTAAGTAAAGTTACTTAGATTTTTCTTGTTCTGTTTTTTTTTTTAATTTAGTGCTTTAAAATTATTTGATAAAATACAGAATTCAGTGGGAAGGACATATTAAAAAGATATTGTATAATCTTTTGACAGTATTGGCAAAGAGTGAATGATTCTTTTTTTAAACATTTCATTAAGCTGATAGATAATAACAGACAAAAATAAAATGTTTGTTGTGAATTTCTGGAGTTGGGAGAGATCCTCTAAAAGGCAAATCTTTTAATTTATTGATCTTTCAGTAAATTTAGTCTAATTAAAACATTTACTTAAAATCTGGCCGGGTGCAGGGGCTCATTCCTGTAATCCCAGTGCTTTGGGAGGCCAAGGCAGGAGGATTGCTTGAAGCGAGGAGTTTGAGACCAGACTGTGCAACACAGTGAGAACCTGTCTCTACAAAAAGTAAAAAAAGTTAGCCAGGTCTGGTGGTGTGCACCTGTAGTCCCAGCTACCCAGCTACTCGGGAAGCTGAGATGGGAGCATTGCTGGGGGCTAAGGCAGGAGGATTGTGTGCCCAGGAGTTCGAGGCTGCAGTGAGATCTGATCATGCCACTGCACTCCGGCCAGGGTGGGCAACAGAGTGAGACTCTGTCTCTAAAAACAAAACCTGTTAATTTATTTAAGAAATATTTATTGAGTGCTTAGTGTGTGCCACTACAGCTGGGAATAAGGCAAAGACCCTGGTCTCACTAGAATTTACACTTCGGTTAGGGAGAAGACACAAATCAGAAAATATAAGGTAGTTATAAATGTTCTGAGTAAAATAAATGAGGTTGATGTACTAGACAGTACGTAAGAAGCTAGCATAGACCTTTGTGAGGAGATGGTATTTGAGACCTGATTGGTAGGAGATAGCCTGATACCCATCTGGGCGGAACATCATGGCGTGTGCACAGAACAGCCAGTGCAAAGGCATTGAGGTGGGAGTGGCCCCAGGCTCAGGTTGAGGTGGGAGTGGCCCCGGGCTCAGGTTGAGGTGGGAGTGGCCCCGGGCTCAGGTCGGAGTACAGAAAGTGGGAAGGTAATAGAAAACTAGGTCGAAGAGGTAAGGTAGGTAGGGGCCACATCACACTGGGCCTTGCCGGCCATGGTAGGAAGTTGGAGGGTGTTAAGGTAGAGGTAACATGATCTTATTTATAATTTTTTAAGATGGGCCTGGCGCAGTGGCTCACGCCTGTAGTTCCAGCACTTTGGGAGGCCAAGGCGGGTGGATCACTTGAGGTCAGGAGTTAAGACCAGCCCGACCAACATGGAGAAACCCCGTCTCTACTAAATAGAAAAAATTAGCCGAGCGTGGTGGCACAAGCCGGTAATCCCAGCTACTCGGGAGGCTGAGGCAGGAGAATTTCTTAAACCCAGAAGGCAGAGGTTGCAGTGAGCTGAGATTGTGCCATTGCACTGCAGCCTGCGCAATAAGAGCAAAACTCTGTGTCAAAAAAAAAAAAAAAAAAAGATGACTGGTTGCCGTGTGTATAATGGATTGTAGGGAGTCAAGAATGGAAGCAGAGAAGAGACTAATTCATAGCCTATTGCAGCAGTCTGGAAAAGACATGATGGTGGTAGTGGTAAAGTGCTGAGAATTTACATTTAGGTTGTATGTGAAACTTTGATGAGCAATTAGATAAAGAGGGTGGGAAAAAGATGGAATTCCCAGAGCTTCAGATGTCAAAATAGTTCCATCACTCTAATATCGGTTAAATAACCAGTTTTTCTTTTAGCTCAGAAATGTACGAGAATTTCACTGGAATGTTTGTCTTAACTGTGTTTTGCAAAAGGATAGTTGAAGGATGAAAAAGCTTGAGCTTTGTTTTTATTTGCTTTTTCGAAAAGTATTAAACCATTAAAATAAGCTTTACAATATTGCATTATGGATTAGCTTTAAAATAATGCATGGGTGATTAACCACGTGTGTTTTCCCTCAGATTAATGTTCTTCAATCAAAAAGGAGATCAGAAATCCTAAAATCAGTAAGACATTAATTGAAATGATGTTTTAAATATTTTAATATGAAACTAAATGTACGTATTTAGGTGTTGAAAGAGCATCTGCTATATACATGATAAGGTTTATAATTGCTCTTCTTTTTGATCTTCATTTGTGTTTCTTATGTGGCACTGGACTTCTTTTTGTCTCCTTCATGTTACAGTTGTTTGTGTGTCTCATCTGTTGATACACTGTGAGGTCCATAAAGGTAGACTCTATACTGTTATGTTTTTGTTTTCTTTTATCCTCATATGTTGCTTTACATGCACTAGATGCCCAGTACCATTTGGTGAATAACTAAAAATGTTTGGTATAAAAACCTGTGAGAATATTTCAGAATTTGTTTTGAAAGTTATCAACATAAAAAACTGTTACACTTAGGTTTTTAATTTTTTCTTACTTGTTTTGCTTTAAAATTTTTTTCCCAGCCTCTTTCAACATATTTACATTTTTCTCTATAATTTTTGGCATTATTTGGACTTCAAAAATATTTGAGATTGAGGATTTATATGAATAGTATCATTTGGAGAATTTTTCCCTTAAAGTTGATGGTGGGTCAGTCTTTTGGTTTGTTCTTCCGTATGCAGTTACAAAACCAGTGGGATGAAATTTGGGGATCACTTTTTTCCTTGAGCCTCTTCACCCACTTGACAATGAATTTTTTTTTTTTTTTGCGGTGGGGAGCCCTATTTTTGGTCTTAAAGCTAACGAAGGCCGGGTGTGGTGGCTCATGCCTGTAATCCCAGCACTTTGGGAGGCTGAGGCGGGTGGATCACCTGAGGTCAGGAGTTCGAGATCAGCCTGGCCAACATGGTGAAACCCCATCTGAACTAAAAATACAAAAAAATTAGCTGGGTGTGGTGGCGGGTGCCTGTAATCCCAGCTACTTCGGGAGGCTGAGGCAGGGGAATTGCTTGAACCCGGGAGGCAGAGGTTGCAGTGAGCCGAAATCGCGCCATTGTACTCCAGCCTAGGTGACAAGAGTGAAACTCTGTCTCAAAAAAAAAAAAAAAAAAAAAAAAAGCCAACGAAGTGGGCAGGGCATGATGTGGTATGGCATAGCACTCTTTATATTTTGATAACCTTAGTAATAATCTCTCAACTCTGAATTACTTACTGACTTACTTTTTCCCCAAAAGGCTATGCTTAAGTTGCCTTAGATTCTTGTCCCCACCTAGCTTTTTTCTAAATTTTATGTATATATTTGTGTTATATCTTATCAGGTAAACACATTGTACTTCCTGTTTTCTAAAAGATAATATTTATACCCCACTTGTTTTCGAGATTGACAGTAATGTGTATTAATTGTAGAAAATTAGAATGTGTATGAAGAAAAATAAAAACTACTTAGAAATTCTGCTACCAAGGGGAAGCCACTATTCATATCTTGGCATACATCTTTGTCTTTTTCTCTCTTTCTGTGTGTGTGCATGTGTGTGTGCATGAACTTGAATATATGCCTTTTAAAATCACATTTAATTTTTTAATGGGAATCATTCCTACATACTATTTTATAACTTTCTTTTTTCACTAATACACTGCAAAGTTATATGTCATTAAATATCCTTTATTTAATGATGGCTTTTGTGGCCAGGTAGAATTCTACCACCTGAATATTCTAGGGGTTGGCACATGTTTTTTGTAAAAGTCCTGGTAGTAAATATGGTAGGTTTTACAGGCCTCATGGTCTCTGTTGGAATTATTCAACTGTGCTATTATAATGAGAGAGACAGTATGTAAATGAATGGCTATGACTGTGTTCCAATAAAACTTTATTTATAAACACAGAAATTTGAATTTCATATAATTTTCACATATCATAAATTTCATATATTTTCATTGCCTTTAAATCATTTAAAGATGTAAAAACCATTCGTAGCTCATGGACTATCAAAAAACAGGTGGTGAGCCCTGATAAAGTTTGCAGGTCATAGTTTACTGACCTTGAAGGAATATACCATAAATTAATTTCACCTATTAATGAATATTCAAATAATTTCCTTGTTTTTGACCTTAGAACATAGCATTGTCCTGATCATTCTAATGAATAATCTTATTATTTTCTTAGGATAGATTTATTTATAAACAAGAGATTACATAGTCAAAGGATTAAGGCTTTAGAAAAATATCATCAAATTTCAAAGGTTATACAATATTTCCCCTAATATTGTGTGAAAATGGATATTTCTCCACATTTTACCAACACTGAGCATTGCAGTTTTTCCCCCATGCTGCCCCTAGTTTGTTGGATAGAAAGCATGATCTCATTATTCAGTTTTGCGTTTTGTTAATACAAATGAGTTTGAACATTTTTCCGTGTTTTTTGGCCACTTATGTACCTCATATGTCCTTTGTCTCTTTTTCTGTTGGAGTGTTCATCTTTTTCATGTTGATTTATAACATCTCTTACATCTTAAGTCTGTTAACTCTTTGTCATGGGTTTTTCCCTAGTTTATCATTTGTCTTTTAATATGCTTGTTTTGCATTTTGATGTACAGGCATATTTTATATTTTTATGTAGTCCTAGCTATTAATCCCATCCCTCTTTTTAAATTTTTAATCAATTTTTAAAATAATTTATTGGTTTTTATTCACAAATTTGTTCAATGATCACTATTATCTAATTCCAGAATAATTTTCCTCTTCTGAGTTTTATCCTTTTGCCTCTGTGTTTTAATGGTTTTTTTTTTTTTGAAAATAGTTTTTTTTGGAGGATTTTTGAGTATTAAGGACTTTATGACCTGTTTTAGACGTCAGAAAATTGAACAGATGCCACTTGTTGAAAATAATATGGATGTTTAGAATATTTTTTCAGTATTATTCATTTAATTATGTAATTCCTTCCATGTAAAAACTTAATTAAAATGAGGGTGATTTTTCTCTTTAAAATAGGTAAGATATAGGAAAACTTGGACAAATCTCTGCCCATTAATGTCAGCTTTTTAGATTTGTGGAATGAATGTAAAGAAACTTCCATGTTGGCAAATTCGGTTGACTCATTTTATTTTGGTATCTTGAGAGAAAAACCCAGCGTTCTCCTACTTTAGGTTATGCTTGTGCTCTCGTAGATTGTAAAGCGTTTGTGTTTTATTTTGAGCACTTTATATTTCTCTTATCTTTTTGTCTTTTTTGCAATTTAAAGTTTGTCAGTGAGCTTGGTTGAAGGAGCACATAAATACTTTATAATGGACCTAGGAAGATAGTAGAGTTATTGAAAATTGGATTATTTGAATCTGCTGTATACATTTTGATCACCTAGATATAGTCTAAACAACTAAAATTTTGAGCATTTTAAAAATGTTAAACCACTGGGAAATTTCTTTTAAATAAAATTTATTTTCATTGTATTTGAAAATATTTTTGAAATACACTTTTAAAACAGATGACTCAGTTTAATTTTCAAATAGATTTGGTGAGCTGGGCATGGTGGCTCACGCCTATAATCCCAGGACTTTTGGAGGCGGAAGTGGGAGGATTGCTTGAACCCAGGAGTTTGAGATCAGCCTGGGTAACATGGCGAGACTTTGTCTCTACAAAAATAAAAAAATTAGCTGAGCATAGTGGCACATGCCTGTGGTCCCAGCTATTTAGGAGGCTGAAGTGGGAGAATCACCTGAGCCTGGGAGGTCCAGGTTGCAGTGAACTGTGTCCATGCCACTGCATGCCAGGTCTGGGCGACAGAGCAAACAGAGCAAGACCCTGTCTTTTATATATTTTTATATATATATGTAATATTTCAGAATGTCTATCTAGGAATAGATTTTAAAATGGTCATCTTTTTTTCCCTATTAGATGTTGTCATTTATGTATGCCCATTTGGCCTTCTTTCATCAAGGATATGATCTGTTTAGTGAACTTGGACCCTACATGAAGGATCTTGGTGCACAGGTAATGTTGCAGTATATTTCTTGATTCTGTTTTATACATTGGTATTTGTATTTTTAAAGAAATTTAGCATATTGGAGGTGTACTAGTTTGTTCTCACACTGCTATAAAGAGCTGCCTGAGACTGGGTAATCTAGAAAGGAAAGAGGTTTAATTGACTCACAGTTCTGCATGGCTGGGGAGGCCTCAGGAAACTTACAATGATGGCAGAAGGCAAAGGGAAAGCAAGGCATCTTTTTCACAAGGCAGCAGAGGGGAGAATGAACGCAGGAGAAACTACCAAACACTTATAAAACCATCAGATCTCGTGAGAGCTCACTCACTATCACGAGTACCAGCATGGGGGAAACCGCCCCCATGACTCAGTTCCCTCCACCTTGTCTCTCTTGACACGTGAGGATTATGGGGATTATAATTCAAGATGAGATTTTGGGTGGGGACACAGCCAAATCATATCAAGGAGGACTTGATGTTTTATTTACTTAATGAAGAATGAAGTTGGATGCTATAGCAGATTTATATATGGGTTAAATACTCAAATGTTTGCGTTTTGGGTATACCCAAAAAATGAAATCAAAGGTAAAAAGAACCTTATGTTATAGTTTGCATGTGAAGGTATTGAAAAGGAGAATTTAAAAACAAAGTGTTTGTTTTGCAGTCTACATAACTGGACTTATATTTAAATTTTATACATTTGGATAATTGAGTTATTGTTCCAATTTGCTTTTCAGTTGAGTTATAGCTCTTTTTTATTTCCTGAAAACTTGTATCTTGTTATTTGAATAAAAAAATTTTAGAATCTTAAAATTATAGAGCTCTTGGGAACTTTTTCATTTCATGCAGTCACATGTGGCCTATCTATGGCTATGTGTAATAGTATTTTTTTTTTTTTTTTTTGAGGTGGAGTCTTGCTCTGTCACCCAGGCTGGAGTGCAGTGGCGGGATCTCGGCTCACTGCAAGCTCCACCTCCCAGGTTCTTGCCATTCTCCTGCCTCAGCCTCCTGAGTAGCTGGGACTACAGGTGCCCGCCACCATGCCCGGCTGATTTTTTGTATTTTTAGTAGAGATGGGGTTTCACCGTGTTAGCCAGGTTGGTCTCGATCTCCTGACCTCGTGATCTGCCCGCCTCAGCCTCCCAAAGTGCTGGGATTATAGGCGTGAGCCACTGTGCCTGGTGGCTACGTGTAATAGTTCTATACATATACATACAAATTTTATATGTATAAAAATGTCATTATATTCAAATTATTTTTTCATATCTGATGATAACATTATATTAGATCTGTTCGGGGGACATTGTTTTTTATTGACGAACATTCTTTATTTTAACACTGTCGATTTTTAGGTGATTTTCTTTCTCAAGGTGTCTCAGTTTAGTTTCCAAGAGGAGGGGATTGATGATGAAAAATAGAGTTTATGCCAGGCATGGTGGCTCATGCCTGTAATCCCAGCACTTTGGGAGGCTGAGGCATGCAGATTACATGAGGCCAGGAGTTTGAGACCAGCCTGGGCAACATGGTGAAACCCCGTCTCTACTAAAAATACAAAAATTATCCAGGCGTGGTGGCATATGCCTGTAGTCCCAGCTACTCGGGAGGCTGAGGCATGAGGTGGAGTTCTCAGTGAGCCAAGATCGGGCCATTGTACTCCAGCCTGGGTGACAGAGGGAAACTCTGCCTCAAAAAAAAAAGGAAAAGAAAAATTGAGTTTAAGGAAAAAGGTAAGAGTGGAATGGGAATTGCATTTACTGACCAGAGTATATGTGAGTTGTGGTTTGTGTGTGTGTGTGTGTTGAGACGGGGGAAAGACATGTAGGGTGTATGCCATGGATTACATGTATTCTGTTTTCTGCCTCTACAGAACTTAGTCTCTTGGGAGAAGCCAACAAGTCACCACACTCTTAATCTCTGTGCTAAATACCTTGTGTGTGTGTAACAGTTGGGATGAGGTTTGTTTGCAAGTAATAGAAAACCAAGAATACTAGTAATTTAAAAAAGAGTTTTATTTCTCTTATGTAAAGTCAAAGACATGGTATGGTGGCCACTTGGTTAGCAGGAGTGCAGGCTTATGTTTTTTGATTCTACCTCATGGTTCAAAGTGGCTAATCAAGCTTTAGCTGTCATACCCAAATTCCAGCTAATGGGAAGAAGGAAAGGAGAATGAAAGATATGTTTTCTCTCTAAGCACATTTCCTAGAAATTGTACATATCACTTCTACATATATCCCAATGCCAAGTCCTTAGTCGCAGGGTCACAATAGCTGCAAGGGAAATTAACGTTAATGCCAGGTAGCCACGTGACCTGCTAGAATTTAGGGGTTCCATTGTTAAGGAAGAAGGAGAAAATAGATATTGAGGGACAGCTGGCCTTTTCCACCATATAGGGAAGGGTCAAAGTGTTGCAGGAACATATAGACAGGACATGTAAGCCAGACTTGGGGGTAAGGAGAGACCTTCCTGGGTTTTAGACATTCCTCACACACTATCAAATATTAGATTGCGCTCTCATCTTATGTTCAGTGTAATTTATAAAAGCAGTATGAGTTGAATTGCAGTTGACTAGCTGAAAAAATTATGTGTTTTTAAAACATTTAATCATTTTAGTTTTATAGGTTTACCCCCTCTCTAGATCTCAAATAAGTCTGCAGGTCCTTGAAAAACATCTAAGCCCCAGAGCCTATAGTGCCTAGTGGATAAGATGGCCGGGTTGGAGGTGGCCAATTACGATATTCTTTTCATAATTAGTAGATAATGGCATCTGAAACTAAAGTCATGGCAGTAGAGATAGAAATGGTTAGATTTGAGGGTTAATATACAGCCAATTCGAGGGTGGAAGGGCGTGACGAATTCATGCTTAAATATATTGATTTGTGAGGATAAGACGTCTAAGTGGATATATGCGGAGCTCAAGAGGGAGATAGACTAAATGAATCAGTAGCGTATACTTGCTGATTGCAACCACAAGAGTGGGTGAGTTGATGGGGGGTGAGTTAGATATCTCTGAATCATAGAGCTATTTAAAAAAATCTAGTTGCCTAGACACCATACATGAAGATTTTCATTTTGTAAGTTAAGGCTGAGGTCCACTGGTATTGAGTAAAAAGAGAAGCTGACTTGGGGCGGGGACATAAGAAAGACTAAATTTTGAGATGGCTAAGGTAAGAGAAGCTGCGTTAGGACATAGATGAGTGAGGAAGTGGAAAAACAGGAGACTGGCATTGTAGGCCAGGAAAAGTCTTTCAAAGGGAAGGAGTGGTTATCAGCTTCCATTATTAGAAAGTTAAGTAAACCTAGGACTGAGAAATACCTGTTGGATTTAGCAGCAAAAAGTTGTTACCTCTGTGAGAGATGCTGTTTCCATGGAGCTGGGGACCCAGGCAGTAGAAGCGGAATGACAGTGGGTAGATGAATATGAAATGGGCAGATACAGAAGGTGGTAATATTTTAAAGAAGTTGTGTTATGAAGGAAAGAGGGAAAGAATGTGGTAGCTGGAAAAAGAGTATGGGTTAGCAGTTTTATTAAGGTAGAATGGTTTGCACCAACTTAAAAGCAGATGGTAGTTCAAGAGGGAGAAGTTGAAAAGGAGAAAGAGAAGTGATGGGATCTGAGGTTTGTGGGAGTGGAAGGGATTTAAAACACAGAAGGACCAGGGATACCTGCTTAGTTATAGGAACCTATTAACATTGATAATGTCCAGTACTAACACAAACACGGGACCCTTTTTACTCTGCTCCAAGTTATCTTCCTGATACATTTCCCCATGTCTAGAAGATAAGACTCTGCCAGTCTTCACATTTCCCCAACTCATGCCTTCCCCCAAACTCCAACCATCATGAAAGATATTTTTTCTTTATTCTTTTTCCCCATCAGAGAGGGAGAATTGTCCCCACTTTTTTGGTTAGAGATGCAAGAGACATTTCTTTTTTCTTTCTTTCTTTTTTTTTTTTTTTGAGACGGAGTCTCACTCTGTTGCCCAGGCTGGAGTACAGTGGCGTGATCTTGGCTCACTACAAGCTCCGCCTCCCGGGTTCACGCCATTCTCCTGCCTTAGCCTCCCGAGTAGCTGGGACCACAGGCGCCCGCCACCACGCCCGGCTAATTGTTTTGTATTTTTAGTAGAGGCACGGTTTCACCGTGTTAGCCAGGATGGTCTCGATCTACTGACCTTGTGATTCGCCCATCTCGGCCTCCCAAAGTGCTGGGATTACAGGCGTGAGCCGCCACGCCCAGCCGCAAGAGACATTTCTTACCAATTAGGCAGAAGACCATCACCTACATTGCAGAATTCATATGTAAAGTATATGCGTGCATATTTGTAAATATTTTGAATTTGAGGGCTACCTTGTACTGCATTTCAGTCTGAATGAATGAGTAATATTCATATGCCACTCAGAGCCATAAAACCCCTAGGATGGTTAGTCCACTCATTCCGCTTAAGAAACTTCTGTGAGAGTATATTTTTCTAGCGCACCATGTACGGTATTACCCACTAAATCAATGCTACGTGTCACTAAGGTATGTGTGTATTAGATCATAGAGTAGCATAGTTGCCACCTGTATCACGTACTTTATAATAGTGATAGATCTGTTTCATTGTGGATTTTTTTTTGGTTAATCTTTATTACTATTCAGTAATATTATCTGTGACTAGAATTATTCTTCTGTAGAAAAAACATCATTTGTGATAAGGGATCAAATAGTTTTTTTGAAAAAGACTTTTTAAAAATTTAGTTTTAAAAAAATATAACTTAAAATGTGTAGACATTTAATGCTTATCTTTCTCCATATTCCTGCTGATCTGATATGTATGTTTTAATTTATTCACTTATCGAACATGTGTTAATCATTTAGAGGTGATGGAGGTTCAGAGTTGGAAAGGCATCATCATAGTCTAGACAATGAAACCCACATAATTAATAATGTATAACCCAATTATTGTTAGTTTAGCAAATAGGATTTCAAGAAGCCAGTGCATTTCTCGTGACATGTTACTGGAAATCAAATACTTCCCTCATGATGGATATCCTTTCTAACGCCAAGGAACAAGAAAAAAATGGGTTATATATATACATATATATATATTTTTTTTTGGTGGAGGGCTGATGGAGTCTTGCACTGTCACCCTGGCTAATGTGCAGTGGTGCGATCTTGGCCTGCTGCAACCTCTGCCTCGTGGGTTCAAGTGATTCTGCTGCCTCAGCCTCCCGAGTAGGTAGGATTACAGGCACCTGCCACCATGCCCAGCTAATTTTTTGTAGTTTTAGGAGAGACGGGGTTTCTCTATGTTGGCCAGGCTGTTCTCGAAGTCCTGACCTCGTGATCCGCCCACCTTGGCCTCCCAAAGTGCTGGGATTACAGGTGTGAGCCACTGCGCCCGGCCAGGTTTTATGGTTTTATTAAGTTTTTTGAGCTTTTAAAAATGAGCCTTAAGAATTGCCGATTTCCTACCTTGGTCTTATGAATGATTACTATTCTTTTATTATTATTATTTTTAGCTTTCTCTTTTATCTCATGAATTATTTTTTCTTCTTTTTAGATTTGAGTATGACATTAGGGAGCCAACCTGAAAACATGAAGAAGCATCTTGAATGGTTGGAAGTAGCTGTTAGAGTGAATTTGTGAGAGCTAGGTTAGCTGGTTAATACTAGTTTAGCTGCACTGCTTTTTGCTGTTTGGGAAAGAAGTCACTAGTGTCTTCTTCGTGTCTTTGATTTTAACTACCAGAATTTGCTTAGTGGGTCAGCAGGAGCCTAAGCTAGAGTCATTTTCGTTATTCAGGGATTGAACGTGTATCACTGGGGTACCTGTGACACGGTCTGCAATCGTATATGTATGGCACCATGACTGTTCTTGGAAATTTTTATTTTCTAGTGGAGATATGGATCTTCTCAAAGAGAACTTGATAGCAGAAAAAAATATGAACTTCTACTTCAAAATTTAGCCAAAACTTTATTAAATCAGCTTAAATTGAGTGATTTTTTATTTATCTGTGAAATGATTTGGAATATGGTTTGAAAAACTAATCCATACTTTTTTTAAGTCTGCAGTTTTCTCTTTTCCCTTTTTACAGTTGGATCGACTGGTTGTGGATGCAGCAAAGGAGAAAAGAGAAATGGAGCAAAAACATTCCACCATTCAACAAAAGGTACCTCAGGGGAAAAATTAAAAATTAATTCCACTTTATACAATGGCTTGGGTGTTGGTTTATGCAAGGTATCATTGTATTGGAACAAATCTTTTGAGTTGTTCTAATAATTGTGCAGATAAATTCCTCTTTTGTTTTTGAAGAGCAAAATGTTCTTCAGATTTTAAGGTATGTATTTTGTTATTTTTTCAGATCTTTGAAAGCTATGCTTCTTGAACCAGTTTATAAAAATTTGAATCTCTTAGGAACTTAACTAAGCTAAAAGTGGCCTTTAGTTAGAATTCAAAACACTATTCATAATTACATTTAGGATACCACCAACTCCCTGTAAAAGTGTGTGTCCGTGTGTGTGTTGTGGGGCAGAGGGTGTGGATGCACCTTAGTGTCAACATGCGTGTTTGGTCTTACAGACTTTCCAACTGCAGTCACTGCAAGGCAGCCTTTCCTCTCTGTCACGAGATGCTAAAACTTCACTTGCATTGCCTGTTAAATTGTCTAAGCCTAGCTAAACTTACTTTGAAAATATTTTTAAAAATGAGAACTCAAATATTAAACCAGTTTTTATTTCTTCATGCTAAAAGAGTTTAGTGTGACATTCCTGCAACTCAACTTTCTTATAAAGTCAGTGGTGCTTTTTGTGTAGTTATCTGAAAATAAAAGGAGAGTGCTGAAGTTGAATATAGAAATATAAGTACGCACAGGATGCCTTCTGGCATTGCTTTAAGAAATCTGTTTTCTTGGTATTGAGCAGTAAAATCAACTTTTTTATGGTTTATTTAGAATTTAAAATACCAGTAAACTAGATCTGATATAGAAGATGTCAGTGGAAAAAAATGAAAACAAAATCATAATAAAAGTAAGAAAAATTTAATTGATGATGGATTATTAATGCTCAAAGAAAAATAATTAAAGGAAAGATTTCTACAAGACCATCTTTAAGTTAGTTACTTTCTAGTTAGTGTCAGGTGAGACAAACTCCACGTTTTATTTTGTTTCGTTTACAGTTAGATTAACTTTTGTTTGGTTAACTTTTTATTTTAAGTTGACAGATAAAAATTTTACATAATTAGAGTGTACAGTATGATGTGTTCATGGGTAATGAGTTTTAATGACATGATCATGAAAAGATTGCTAAAAATTGGGACCAATTGTTTTTAATTAAAATGAGATATCATGGTATTTGTAGAACTATCTGAATATTTCCTTAAATTGAATTACTTAATAAACATTATGCATCTTTTAATATCTTTTCCTATTGTGGACACAGTTCAGTGTTGTACTGAAGCTTCAAAAATGGTAAATTATTAACTCTAAGAATAATTTATTTGATTTTAAATAATATTCAACTGTTTTCCTTTAAAGAAAATGATGCTATTTTTTGCTTATTATGAATACTGACCTCTTTTCTGCCCCTAAATGCTGACACAAGGCTGCGTTACAGGTAAAAAAAAAAAAAAAAAAAAAAAAAAATCAGTCCACTAAAAACTAAGGGAAAGTATGTCTCCTGTAGTTATGTAGATTTTTTCAAAAATTTAAATTGATCAATTGGAGAAACAGTGGTGCTTTGAACATTCATGTGCAGATACGTGCACGCATTTTACATTTCTCATGTATTTATACCTAGGAGTAAAACTGCTGAGTTAGAAGGTGTATTAGCATTAGCAGGTCATTTAGCATAAGTAGATAATGCTACATTGTTTTTCAAAATATTATACTATCTTAGCAGATAGCACTATATGAGAGTTCCTATTTGCCAGCTCATTATATTATGAGACTTTCAGATTTTGGCCCATTTGATCAGTAGATATAGACATCTTCTTGTAGTTTTAACTTCTTCAGTGACTAATGAGCTTAAGCACCTTATCTTATATCTATTGGTCTTTTGCATATCTTATTTGTAAAACGTCTGTTAATCTTTCTCTCATTTTTCCACCAGGCTGCCTGATGTTTGATCAAATTCATAATATATTTGAGGCATATGTGTTTTTAATTTTCATATAGCTTATTTTTATCAGTCTTACGGTTGATGCTTTTTGTGTGTTGTTCAGTAAATCCTTTCCATTTCAAGATCATGAAGAGATATCTCTTGTATTATAGGTTTGCTTTTTAGATCTTTATTTTTTATTTTATTTTATTTTATTTTGGTCCTGTCGCCCAGGCTGGAGTGCAGTGGCGCGATCTCTGCTCACTACAACCTCCGCCTCCTGGGTTTAAGTGATTCTCCTGCCTCAGCCTCCCAAGTAGCTGGGATTACAGCTGCACGCCACCATGCCTAGCTAATTTTTGTATTTTTAGTAGAGATGGGGTTTTGTCATGTTGGTCAGGATGGTCTTGATCTCCTGACCTCAGGTGATCCATCCACCTCGGCCTCCCAATGTGCTCGGATTACAGGTGTGAGCCACCGTGCCGCTTTTTAGGTCTTTAATTGGGTTTTTGTGTGTGGTGTGAGGTAGAGATCTAGTTTCCTTTAATTCTCTCACTGGTAGTCAGTTGATCCAGACTAGTTATTAAAAAGTTTGCTCTTTCCCAAATGCTCTGTGGTATATCCTGTGTTATATATCACATTTCCATATATGTGAGGCCCATTTCAGTTTCTCTATTCTGTTTCACTGTCTTTTTGTCTAAACTGTCAATACTATGCTGTCTTAATTATTTTTGGCTTTAGAGTGACTTCTTTAGTGACTAATGGGCATCTTATATTCATTGGTCATTTGGATATCCTATTTGTGAACTATTAGTCTTTATCTCATTTTCCCACCAGGTTGCCTAATTGTTGATCAAATCCTTTTAAAAATTTTTTTATTTCATTTTTATTTTTCATTTTTAATTTTTGTTAGTACATAGTAGGTGGTATTATTTATGGGGTACATGAAATATTTTGATACAGGCATGCAATGCATAATAATCACATCATGGAAAACGGGGTATCCATCCTCTCAAGCATTTATCCTTTGTGTTACAAACAATCCTATTGTATTCTTTTAATTATTTTTAAATGTACAATTAAATTATTTTGACTGTAGTCACCCTGTTGTGCTATCAAATACTAGGTCTCATTCATTCTGTTTTTTTTTTGTATCCATTAACCATCCCCACTCGCTGACACCCCCAGTTCCCACCACCACTCCCAGCCTCTGGTAACCATCCTTCTACTCTCCAGCTCCCTGAGTCCAGTTGTTTTATTTTTTAGATCCCACAAATAAGTGAGAACATGAATGTTTGTCATTCTGTTCCTGGCCGGCAAATTCTTGATATCTAATAGCAAAGCTTCCTACCTTCCCTCCTTCAATTTTGTATGAATCAAAATTAATATCTTTATTATATCTTCAAATCTGTGTGCTTGGTATATTCTCCATTTAAGTTTTCTTTAATGGCTTTCATAAAGTTTTATGATTTTTCTTGTACATCTTTTGTTAGATTTATTCCTAGACACTTGTATTCTAAATGTTATCTTTAAATTTATTTATTTTACCACTGTTCTGTTTGCGATAAAATTGATTTTTCTGTATTGATTTTGTAACTAGTAATCTCTTTTAATATTGATTTATCTCTCAATTATTTTGGATGTTCTGTGTATGAAGTGTTATCATCTACCAATAATGATGGTTTTTTCCTTTCTTTCCAATCTTGTACTCTTTTTTTGTTATTTTGCTGGCTAGGAGTTTCATCATGATCTTGAGTGAGAGTGGTAATAATGGTTTTTCTTGTCTTGTTTGCTGTTTCAAAGGGAAAGTTTCTATTAGATTCCCCTTTGACCAGCCTTGGTTTTGCATTCTGTTCCCTGGACCTCACACCAAAACTCAAGTTCTCCTGATAGGCAGATGCCCTTGCTCTCCTTACCTCTTTGAATTCCAGTTTTCACTCAGTCTCTTGCCTTTGAGTATTCCTTCCTAGTTTGTCAGGTCATCAGTGTATTTAAGGAGATTCTAACACTATGTCTTTCATCCAACATATTTCATTGCTAAAGTTATGAAATCTGTCACATTTTAAGTACTACAAAATATTAGCTGATATTAATAGTAATTAAATTGAAGACAATTTATCTCAAGAAGTATAGTTGAAAATTAGAGAAACACTTGTAATGCCCTGCACTTTCAAAGAAGTCTTTTAAGTTGACCAAGGTTTTGAAAAACTGCAGATGTTACAAATGAAACCTTTAGAATGTTAACAAAGTCAATTATATTTATATTTACTGCTTCCTTAATTCTCTCTGTATAATTAAATAAATTGTAGCGTCAAATAAATTTTAAATGAGGGCATTAAAGTTTCCCTGATTTTTTTTTCCCCCAAAGAAAAAGTAGGAAGCAATGTAGCAATTTGTTTACAGATTCTCCTTCATTTGATTATTTTGGATTATCAGGTCTTTTCGTGGTTAAAGTTTCAAAGGTGTCAGGAGAGGTTATTTTTTTTTCTCTTTTGAAATTCTGAATTTAGTCTGTTTCCTGTTCCTGACTTAGTACACTTTTAAATTTGGAGGGCCCTTAGATGGTTGTCCCTCTGCCTTCCCTCTGGTGCAAGGCCCCAGCATCTCAGTAGATACTGCCAAAATGTTTCCCAAGACAGGACGTTTACTGCTCCTTAATAGGGTAGAATTCTAATTTTAATTATTGGTCCAGGAGGAATTTTAAAAGTTATGGGACTGGCTTTAGAGTTTTAAATTTGCTGAAAACAGCAGTCTTAGAGTTGTGTTCAAAATGCTTTGAAGTTTGTTAGGCAATATTTTAAATATTGAATTTCTGATTTCCAAACTTCATGAATGTGTGGAAGAAAATTGGAAGTTTAAATTGCATTCAGGTGAAGATTTAGATAATTAGAACGCTAGAAGAAGACTATGAGTGATTTCATAGTACTCATAAAAAAGTGAGTTCAACTTGCCCACTTCAAACTGTAGACTAAGATCTGTTTCCTTTGAAAACTAAATTTTATTTTAGGAAAAAATGCCATAGACAGTGTCAGATTGAAGGACTACCACCCCTGGGCTCAGTGGCTCACACCTGTAATTCCTGCACTTTGGGAGGCTGAGGCAGGTGAATCACTTGAAGTCAGGAGTTTGAGACCAGCCTGGCTAACATGGTGAAATCCTGTCTCTACTAAAAATACAAAAATTAGCTGGGCATGGTGGCAAACGTCTGTAGTCCCAGCTACTCAGGAGGCTGAGGCAGGAGTATCACTTGAACGGGGAGGCAGAGGTTGCAGTGAGCTGAGATTGTGCCACTGCACTCCAGCCTGGGTGACAGAGTGAGATTCAGTCTCAAAAAAAAAAGAAAAAAAAAAGGAACTACCATGGTAGTAATATATTTAGAAAATAGTGGTAACTTTAAATAATCCCAATTAAATATAACCATATACTTTAAAAAATTGTTAACACATATCACCATAAAATGTTGTGATGCCTGTAATCCCAGCACTTTGGGAGACTGAGGCAGACAGATCACCTGAGGTCAGGAATTCAAGACCAGCCTGGCCAACATGGTGAAACCCTGTCTCTACAAAAATTAGCTGGGCATGATGGCGTATGTCCGTAATTCGAGCTACATGGGAGACTGAGACGGGAGAATCACTTGAACCCGGGAGGCAGAGGTTGTAGTGAGCTGAGATCACTTCATTGCACTCCAGGCTGGGCAGCAGAGCGAGACTCTGTCTCAAAAAAAAAAAAAAAAAAAAAAAAGTTGTGATAAAACAAAAGAATTTTAAACGTCATACCCTGTGTAGTATTTAGTTGTTTCCCTTGTTTATTTGTATACATATTATTTTGTGCTTTTAATCACAATGTATATATAGTTTATATTGATTTATTTTCTGTTTTGCACTATATTCTATATAATTATATGTCCTTACGTCATCACAATAAGTATTGCATAAAATAATCCACTAAAGTCAAATACTTTAATGTATTGAAACATTTCTTTATTATTGATCATTTAAGTCCCCCTTCATTTTTCTTATTAATATTGTTGTAACTGTCTTAATATAAACCTTTTCTTCCTTTTGAACTCTTTTCTTAGGATCCATTTCTTGTCTAGGAAACTTAGTCAAGTCATATGAACTTCTTTATGTGTTATTTTGTGTAGGATTTCTCCAGTGATGATTCTAAGTTAGAATATAACGTAGATGCTGCAAATGGCATAGTTATGGAAGGATATCTGTTCAAACGAGCCAGCAATGCCTTCAAAACTTGGAACAGGTAATATATTTCAAATACTAGTCTTGATCTATACATAGTTTTGATTTTCTGACTTTCCCTGTGATTTGACAACTCTCTCCTTTATAGTTCTTTAACTTCTGTAAATTCCATAGAAACTTTCCTGAACCCAGTCTATTGAAGATAGATGCCCTTTAGAAGCAGGTGAAGAATAAAATCGTTAATTCTAAATTCTAAAAATAAGCAAGGATTAAATAAGGAAGCAAGGATTAAATAAGGAAGCAAGGAGAATTTTTATAATGCTTGGTCTATAGTGGCTAGCTCATTATAGTAAATAAATTTTGAATATGGTCTACCTCCTATATTTGTTATAAAATAGATTTGAGTACAAATTATGAATATGATAGATGAATAGGACAAGTGAGCTTTCTTTTTTCTTTTGGTTTCTCCTCTATATGATGTTTATGTACATTTTTACTTAGTGTTTGCTTATTGTATTAGTCCATTTTCTCACTGTTATAAAGATACTACCTGAGACTGGGTAATTTATAAAGAAAGGAGTTTTAATTGGTTCACAGTTCTCCATGGCTGGGGAGGCCTCAGGAAACTTACAGTCATGGCAGAAGGTGAAGGGAAAGCAGGCATCTTCTTCGCAAGGCAGCAGAGAGAGAGTGCTCAGGGGAAATTGCCGCTTTTAAACCATTATATCTTGTGAGAACTCCCTCACTATCATGAGAACAGCATGGGGGAAACCGCTCCCATGACCCAGTCACCTCCCACCAGGTCCCTTTTTCAACATGTGGGGATTACAATTTAAGATGAGATTTGGGTGGGGATACAGAGCCAAACCATATTTCATCCCTGGCCTTTCTCAAATCTCATGTCCTTTTCACATTTCAAAATCAATCAGGACTTCCCAACAGTTCCCCAAAGTCTTATCTCATTCCAGCATTAACTCAAAAGTCCAAGTCCACAGTCTCATCTGAGACAAGGCAAGTCCCTTCTGTCTGTGAGCCTGTAAAAATAAAAAACAAGTTAGTTACTTCCAAGATACAAGGGAAATACAGGCATTGGGTAAATGTTCCCATTCCAGATGGGAAAATATGACCAAAACAAAGGGGTCACAGGCCCCACACAAGTTCGAAACCCAGCCAGGCAGTCATTAAATCTTAAAGCTCTAAAATCTCCTTTGACTCCATGTCTCACATTCCAGGGCAGGCTATGCAGCGGGTGGGTTCCCATGGCCTTAGGCAACTCCACCTCTGTGGCTCTGCAGAGTGTAGCCCCTGCGCTGCTTTTATGGGCTGGCATTGAGTGCCTGCGGTGTTTCCAGGTGCATGGTGCAAGCTGTTGGTGGATCTACCCTTCTGGGGTCTGGAGGATGGTGGCCCTCTTCTCAAAGCTCCACTAGGCAGTGCCACAGTGGGGACTATATGTGGGAGATCCAATCCCATATTCCCTTCTGCACTGCTTTAGGAGAGGTTCTCCATGAGGGCTCCTCCCCTGCCGCAGACTTCTGCCTGGACCTTCAAGCATTTCTATACATCCTCTGGAATCTAGGTGGAGTTTCCCAAACCTAAATTCTCGTCTTCCATGCATCTATAGGCCTAATACCACATGGAAGCCACCAATGCTTGGGGCTTGCCCACTCTGAAGCAGTGGCCCGAGCTGTACCTTGGCCTCTTTTAGCCATGGCTGGAATTGGAGTGCCTGGGTTGCAGGGCACCAAGTCCCAAGGCTGCACAGAGCAGCAGGGTCCTGGGCCCTGGCCCACAATACTATTTTTTCCCTCCTAGGTTTCTGGGCCTGTCATGGGAGGGGCTGCCTCAAAGATTTCTTACATGCCCTGGAGACATTTTTCCCATTGTCTTGGATGTAAACATTCAGCTCCTCATTATTTTTGCAAATTTTTGCAGCTGGCTTGAATTTCTCCTCAGAAAATGGATTTTTCTTTTATACCTCATGGTCAGGCTGCAAATTTTCCAAACTGTTATGCTCTGCTTCCCTTTTAAACTAAGTTCCAATTTCTTATCTTTTCTTTGTGAACGCATATAATGGTACACTTTCGGGAAATCCAAGTCACCTCTTGAATGTTTTCCTGCTTAGAAATTTCTTCTGCCAGATATCCTAAATCCTCTCTCTGAAGTTTAAGGTTCCACAGATCTCTAGGGCAGGGGCAAAAATGCTGCCAGTCTCTTTGCTAAAGTATAGCGAGAGTGACATTTGTTCCAGTTCCCAATAAGTTCTTCATCTCCATCTGAGACCACCTCAGCCTGGACTACATTGTCCATATCCGTATCAGCATTTTGGTCAAAAGCATTCAACAAGTCTCTTGGAAGTTCCAAACTTTTCCTCATCTTCCTGCCTTCTGAGCCCTCCAAACTGTTCCAACCTCTGCCTGTTACTCATTTCCAAAGTGGCTTCCACATTTTCAGATTATCTTTGCAGCAGTACCCCACTCTGCTGGTACCAGTTCTCTGTATTAGTCCATGTTCACACTGCTATAAAGATACTACCTGAGACTGGGTAATTTATAAAGAAAGGAGTTTTAATTGACTCACAGTTCTACATGGCTGGGGAAGCCTCAGGAAACTTAGAATTATGGCAGAAGGGGAAGCAGGCATCTTCCTCACAAAGGTGGTAGGAGAGAGAGAGCTCAGGGGAAACTGCCACTTTTAAACTATCAGATCTCCTAAGAACTCCCTCACCATCACGAGAACAGCATGGGGAAAACCGCCTGCATGACCCAGTCACCTCACACCACATCCCGCCCATGGCATGTGGGGATTACAGTTCAAGGTGAGATTTGGGTAGTGACACAGAGCCAGTCCTTATCACTTATGAATCTTTTTTTTTTCCTGCCCTTTGTGAACAAAATGCTTATGAATCTTTAAGCTAGGTGATCCTGATCTTTTGATCTTTGCAATAACTTCAATAAAACAGGAGTTTTAGGAAATAGGATTTTTTTCATATATGAAGCTGTGGCAGTTGATGCTCCTTTATTCTAAACTTGATGGCTACCAAAAACTTTGAAGGTGTTGCTAAACAAATTTTTATAAAATATAAATCTGTTAAATGTCTGTTAAAAGAATGTATAAAATATTTCATTGTATTTTCTCATGTAGTAATATACTAAAATGAAATAACTTCAGACATTAAAGCTTCAACCAAAAGATTGGTTGTCGCAGGATCATTCTTCTGGGTATCAGTGATTATCTTTTATTCAAGGATGCCTCTATTTTTGCCAAAAATAAAAAAGTAGTCAAAAAAATTCTGTAATATGAGTAGTAGTTGGATTCTGGTTGATTTACTATTATATTATTGGTTATAATGTGTTTATTACTTGAAGAGAATATGAATTTAATGATGAAGGTTGTTTTTATTTTAAAAAAATGGACATTAGTAAAGTAAATATAATTTCCTAGTAAGTTTAACTTTGTGTACATTTTTGTTAAATGGAAAAATTTAATGTTTTATTAAAATGGGTTTCTAGTGTAATTATTTTTATGTCTTGGTGTCAAGGTTATATAGAAAAAACATTCACTGGGTGGGCACGGTGGCTCACGCCTATAATCCCAGCACTTGGGGAGGCTGGGGCAGGTGAATCACTTGAGGTCAGGAGTTTGAGACCAGCCTGGCCAACATGGTGAAACCCCATCTCTACTAAAAATACAAAAATTAGCCTGGCGTGGTGGTGTATGCCTATAATCCCAGCTACTCGGCAGGCTGAGGCAGGAGAATTGCTTGAACCCAGGAGGCAGAGGCTGCAGTGAGCCGAGATTGCACCACTGCACTCCAGCCTGGGTGAGACTCTTGTCTCAAAAAAAAAAAAAAAAAAAAAAAAAAAAATTCACTGACATTTCTGAAAGTCAGTGATTTATTGAGCATTTCCCCAGCATTTGATATTGCCAGATGTTTACATGGTAGATGGTTTGTTTTATTCAAAATAATTTTTCTGAACCTGAGAGTTAATATAAAATGGAAAGAATAATGATTATATTTGATGTTAAACCTGAGTTTAGAGAGCTTTAAAAATAATACATGTGGTGGACATGGTGGTTCATGCCTGTAATCCTAGCACTTTGGGAGGCTGAGGTGGGTGTATCACTTGAGGCCAGGAGTTTGAGACCAGCCTAGCCAACACAGTGAAACCCTGTCTTTACTAAAAATAGAAAAAATTAGCTGGACGTGGTGGCGCATGCCTGTAATCCCAGCTGCTTGGGAGGCTGAGGCAGAAGAATTGCTTGGACCTAGGAGACAGAAGTTGTAGGAGTCAAGATTGTGCCACTGCACTTCCAGTCTGGGCGACACAGTGAGACTCTGTCTCTTAAATAAATAAATAAATAAATAAACATAAGAATAGTACATGAATATAGGTGGACCAACTCAAGTGGTGTGGTTAGAAATAATGTTTCTAGCTAAAGTGAAAATGAAAACTTAAAATTACATTTTCTAAGCTCTAAAAAGTAAGACAGTAGTCTTCTAAGCCTTTCCTGACAAATTTCTGTAGCCAGAGTAGAAGTTGGAAAAAAAAAAAAACAAAAAAAACCCAGCTTGACTGGTGAGTCTTTATAATAAAGGTTACTCACCAGTATGTTTTCATGATATAATGGCAGAATTGAATTTTAGCCTTCAGATTTCAAAGCAACCTACTTAAAGTTTAACAAAGTGAAAATACAGTAAATCCATAGAAACATACCATTATGTTAAGAAGAAAAGAAATGAACTTCCATGGACTACTACAATGAGAGATGGTCTCAGACTTCAAAATGAAGCATAGTAAGTGTTAGTAGAATATTGCACTGCCATTTAGGACAATAGAAGGAAGTCGATTTTGATTTATACATGAACCTTTTCATTATGATTAATTTTCTGAATTACATTGGCATAGATATTAAAATGCAGCTAAAATCAAGTAAGGAATAATGGTTAAATTTTCAGTTGTAGACATTACCTCCTATTTACAAAGTGAAAAAAACAATGCCTTTGGAAATTAGGCTGTTTTTAAAGGAGATGCCATCTATGTGTAGTGAAATGGCAGTTATTGACTAGAATCATAGATTGTAGAGCCCCTTATTTTCAGTAAAGAAATGGAGCTTCAGAGACATAGTCACTTTTTCAAGATCACACAGCTGGTTTGTGAACAAATTGAGGGGCAAAACCTGGAACTCTGAACTCTTCCTCAAGTATCCTATGGCATTTTTCTTACTTGCTGTGAAAATTCCAAACCATCTTTATTTTGATAGAACAAGATACAACTTCAACTATGAAAAAATACTTCATTTTAAAAGAACTTCCTGAAGCACTTACGTTATTAGGAAAAATTATGGATAGCAAATTAATATCATTTTCACATGCTATTGAAGAACGTTTGCCAAAAACACTAGTAAAATTCTGACTTGTAAAAGAATATAGCATATAAGGCCAGTCATTGTGGCTCATGCCTCTAATCCCAGCAGTTTGGGAGGCCAAGGCAGGCAGATTGCCTGAGCCCAGGAATTGGAGACCAGCTTGGGCAACATGGTGAAACCCCATCTCTACAAAAAACAAATATAAAAATTAGTCAGGTGTGGTGGTGTGGTGCCTGTAGCCCCAGCTACTCAGGTGGCTGAGGCGGGAAGACCGCTTGAGACCAAGAGATTGAGGCTGCAGTGAGCCTCTGCATTGTGCGTCTGCACTCCAGCCTGGGTGACGGAGACCCTGTCTCAATCAGCCAATCAGTGAAAGTCCAAACCTTGTGACTAAAGTCTTTAAGTATTTTCTAGGTGATAGATAAGGAACTAGACAGAAGGGAGAGGAAAGAAGAGTAATCTTTTAAATGTTACTTAGAATTCTCTTCTGCTTTTTAATGTTAAAAATTTGGAATTTAAATTTCTTAAAGTATCTCAAAATCCAATTCTCTGCGCAGCTTAATTTATTTTACTGGACTTTGAGTAAAAGACTGTGTTTATGATATTGGTGAGTTAATTTAAAAAATTCAGGAATCCAGTGATTCAAATATGAAGATTTTTCTGCCTGCTATTTAAATATTTTTTTGGGATTGTTTATGGATTACTTTTAGGGCACGTTTTTTGTTTTAGTCACCATAGGGTACCACACATTTGCTATTACCTATACTTCTATGGAATTATTGCGTAGAGTCTTATCAAAATCAACTATTTAAAAAGACCTTCTGGCTGGGCATGGTGGCTCATGCCTGTAATCCCAGCACTTTGGGAGGCCGAGGTGGGCAGATCACTTGAGGTCAGGCGTTCAAGACCCGCCTGGCCAACATGGCGAGAACCCTGTCTCTACTAAAAATATAAAAATTAGCTGGTCATGGTGGCACGCATCTGTAATCCCAGCTCCTCGGGAAACTGAGGCAGGAGAATCACTTGAACCCAGGGAGGCAGAGGTTGCAGTGAGCCGAGATTTTACCACTGCACTCCAGCCTGGACAACCAGAGTGAGACTTCGTCTCAAAAAAAGAAAAAAAAAAAATCTTCTTTCTCCCATAAATAAGATACGCTTACTATGTACCCACAAAAATTAAAAAAAAAAAAAACAACAAAATTTTCTTCCTCAGGGAAATGTGAGTGTGACTAGGAATTTCCAGATAGTTTTAATAAAACCTCACTTTGTGCTTCATAAATTACAAGTGTATTTCAGGTCATTCCAAAATCTGGAATTTAAGTGAATAGATAATATTTTGTATGATGCGATTGAAATAGCATAAGTGAAAAGTTTTATGTCTTATGTGAACTGTTGTAGTTGGTAATATCTCAAAAATTTTATAAATCTATAAAATATATTTTTCTGAAGATATAAGTGAAGTCACCACAATAATCTTTCTTTGTTGGGTCATTTTCTCAGTGTGGCAGCTTCCTTTCAGGCTCAAATTAGTGGATTATTAGAACTTATATTCTCTTTTGCTTTTTATGATTAAATTCTGAAAAGATGAAGGAAAATAAATAGATACTAACATAATTTATTTAGTGATAACTTGGAAAAACTAATAAAACTGAATAATTACTTGCTATGCTCAGTCTTTGTTGAAATAGAAAATACAGCTAAGAGCATAGAAGGTACTACACAGGATTTTAAAGCAAAATGTTCTGTATGCTGCTGGTATAGATGTAAATGTTTTATTTCTATTGGCCTTTTGTATTATAAGAAGTATATACATGGATTAAAGATTAATACTACGTATGTGTGGCTTTCAAGTCACTGATAACCATTTCATGAAAACGGGATGGGCAATTGGGAGAAATGTTTATTTGCCTAATATTTTATAATCTTTGACATCCTCTATTTAGTGAACCTACTTTCTTTATGAAGACTTTTCATTTATCTCAGGTTTATACAGGCAATTCCTACAGTGATTGTTTTCCTGAACTTTTAGGAGCAGCTTATTAAGATGAGGCGCGAGGTGCTATCTATATTTTATAGCCATGACCATTGAGGCAGAAAATAATAGTAGAGGTATATCCAAGTATGCTAAATCCTACCAGAACTTCCTGTAATGTAGTATTTGAAGAACTTTTTGAATATTCCTGAAATTTTCAGAGTCTTAAGAGTTGGAATTAATTGTACAAATGCATATGTGTATAAAAAGTTAATAAAATGCAACAGATACTTTTGATTATTTTGTTAGGTTCAGAGCTTAAGCTTGTTTCTTAATTCTTGCTTTATTTTCGTATCATGCTAGTCCTTTGCTTATTTTGCACATTTTTCGTTTTCATTCTTTTACCACCTTTCCCTTATGTTTTAATCCTGCCCCGTTTTTTCACACGACAGGAAAAAGCCCGATCACATCAGGTACCAAATGGCTTCCTTCCCTTTACCCTCATCTTACTCCAGTTTCCTTTTTGGCACGAGAAAGCTCATAATTAACTTGCATTCCAGTTGGATTACTTGCAATGGATGAAAAGTCTCTTTATGTTTTAAATTGGGAAGAAAATATAACTATTTTATTTGAGAAATGGAATTATACCTTTTAGTTGCACATCTCCTCAATTTGTTTTAATCTGTAAAGGAATCTTTGATTTATTTATAATTACCCAAAGAAGATACAGATTGAGTAATTTACTTTTTTTTTTAAACATATCTTATTTTTTTGAAAAGAGAAATAAAGGCTGGATGTGGTGGCATGCCTCTGTGGTCCCAGCTACTCCAGAGGCTGAGGTGGGAGGATCACTTGAGCCCAGGATTTCCAGACTGCAGTGAGCTGTGATTGCACCACGACACTCCAGGCTGAGTGACAGAGTGAGGCCCTGTCTCTAAAAAAAATTACATATATGTCTAAACAAATAAAAATATAGAGGGAAATAAGCTAGTAAACTCTTTTTAAAAATTTGAGCAGTAACTAGGATTAGTCCTTTTGGTAAAACCATATTGATTATGTTGAAAGAATACATTGTCAGTTCGTTACCTTTTTTTGTTTTGCCATTTATTTTCTCTGTATAAAAATAAATTGAAGTAAAGGAGCATTCATGTTCAGGCTTTTAATTTTTACCAGTTGTTTACCTATTTGGCACTTACATGAATGTGTAAATAAACCCATCATCTGTATAGTTCTAGTGATAACGTTTCTACAGATTTAGAAGTTTGACTTTTACTCATGTTCTTGATTACAAGAGCAGTCTGGGACTAGTGATCAAACATGGTAAAAGATAACTCGAATTTTTTGTTTATGTATTTTTTCTTTTCCTGCCCAAATTTTGTCATTTGGAAGCTCTAATTAGTATGTTAATATTAATAATATTTAATAATTTATAAATTTAATATTTACAACAAATATATTTTAAAGTATAATATTTAGAATTTAATAAAATGTGTATTATATTGAGTTATTTCAATTTGAGATACAAAGTGATACCTTATTTTTCTTAATGAAGCAAGAAATTTTTCTATTTTAAAAACTGTCTTGGCAGGGCGCGGTGGCTCATGCCTGTAATCCCAGCACTTTGGGAGGCTGAGGCGGGTGGATCACTTGAGGTCAGGAGTTCAAGACCAGCTTGGCCAACATGGCGAAACCCCGTCTCTACTAAAAATACAAAAATTAGCTGGGCGTGGTGGTGCATGCCTGTAATCCCAGCTACTCAGGAGACTGAGGCAGGAGAATCGCTTGAACTCAGGAGGCGGAGGTTGCAGTGAGCCGAGATCGTGCCATTGCACTCCAACCTGGGCAACAGAGTGAGACTCCATCTCAAAAACAAAAACAAAAAACAAAACAGAAAACTGTCTTGTATTTTGGCTTTGTGGTCAGTTTCTGAATCCAAAGTTAAGTATTTTTTCTATATTTCACAGTCCATGAGCTGTTTTTAAGTCTTACTTTTCCTTTTCTTAGAAATGTTAGTAACAACTAGGGCCGGGCGTGGTGGCTCACGCCTGTAGTCCCAGCACTTTGGGAGGCCAAGGTGGGTGGATCGCTTGAGACCAGGAGTTAGAGACCAGCCTGGCCAACATGGTAAAACCTCGTCTCTACTAAAAATACAAAAATTAGCAGGGTGTGGTGGCGTGTGTCTGTAACCCCAGCCACTTGGGAGGTTAAGGTACCAGGATCGCTTGAACCCAGGAAGTGGAAGTTTCAGTGAGCCAAGATCGCACCCCTGCACTCCAGCTTGGGTGACAGAGTGAGACTCTGCTTCAAAAAAAAAAACAAAAAAAAAACAAAAAAACCACAATGAAATGTTAATAACAACTAGGATTATTCTATAGAAATAATTAAAAATTATATTCCCTTTTACTTAACTGATTAAAGTTTTGGTCAATGTTACTAGTTTTTTTAATTTATAATAGCAATGGAGGAGTGATAGTGTTGTAAGACACACAAATCTTAGTATAATAATTGAAAAAATGTTTTCTACCTAGGATATATGACGTTTTTCCTTAAGAGATGTAAAATTAAGAGTTTATATTTTCTTTCCTCAGTTTATAAAAATCGATGTTATGAAAACGTCATTCAGAAGCAGATCGATGGCAGAGGAACTGGGTTTCAGAAATACATATGATCCTTAGGTTAATAATCAGAGGGTTAGCTCTTTGACAACAACATAAGTTTTAATACTATTTTTAGAAGATATTGTCCTAAGATGCAGCTGGTCAAGAGAAGTTAATTTTTTGAAGACCTCAGAAGCGTGAAAAGTTTACATAATTTGTTGTTCAGTAAAACTCTTCGTAGCTTTCATCAAATTACAGAATTTACTATGATATAAAACAAATGATTTTGTATGACTACAGTTCACCCTACTTCAAATGATTTTTACACAAACGCTTTCATCAGTATCAGAGATTGTTTCCATTGCATGTCATCCCATGTGGCAGGGTTGCACCATTTTGTTTGTTTGTAGGTATTTCCTTAACATTTCTAACCAACTATCTGTCCCAAAGTAAAGAAACCCAGAAGTTCTTCCTTTTCTAGCCTACCTCTTGATGATTTGCATTTAGAGGCAACCCAGCTCATTTTATCTAGATGCTTATTTAACAAATGTCTTTTTTAATGGTAAAGGCGATTCCTCTTTAAGTGACAAGAAAACCTAAGTCTGTCTAGTAAATGGCTTAAAAGTGGAAAAGCATCTTCTAGTCATGACATGAGAACAGCTTTGGATAATTAACTTAATTTTTAAAAATAGAAATTCTAAATACAATTTCTAATGCTTCATATTAGTATCAATGAAAAGGTAGAATATCTGCTAATTGATTAATAACTAATGTTACAATAGAAATCATCTCACATGAAACTAATTTTAAAATAATGATTCAAATACTGTTTTACCTTTCATGCTTGATAAGAAGTTTTGCTTTCTTTTCTGAATGGCTTTTGGCTGTGAATTTTTTTTATGCCTTTAGGTCTTTTATTGTTTTAATAAATTAGAATTAGTAAATATGTAATACATAGCATAGATTTTTCTTCTAAAAAAGATCGTAAGTAAATTGTTTGTCTAATAATTTACAGTAATGAGCAGAACCATATAAATAGTTGAGTGAATCATTTGTAGTAATAACTTTGATTATTTTACTTAGGAGTATTTTATATGAAAGTAAGGCCAAGCTAATTTGTGATTGTCTCTTGTTAGATGTCGGTTCTGACATGATTAGTTTTCTGTTTTGCTTATCAAATCAAACTCTTACTGAATTATCTGCTGAAAAGTTGAAAATAAAGCACAATTTATTTCAATGTTTTTCTGTATACAAGTGGATACTTTTTTTTTTTTTTTGAGACGGAGTCTTGCTCGGTCGCCCAGGCTGAAGTGCAATGGCGTGATCTCGGCTCACTGCAACCTCTGCCTCCCGGGTTCAAGTGGTTCTCCTGCCTCAGCCTCCTGAGTAGCTGGGATTACAGGCACCTGCTGCCATGCCCAGCTAATTTTTGTATATTTTATTAGAGGCTAGGTTTCACCATGTTGGTCAGGCTGGTCTCGAACTCCTGACGACCTCAGGTGATCCACTCACTTTGGCCTCCCGAAGTGCTGGGATTACAGGCGTGAGCCACCGTGCCTGGCCACAAGTGGATACTTTTATTCACGATATACATTTATGCCAACTTTATGAGAAAAGCAATTATTTCTTGGGAAAGAGTTCAGTTATTTTTGAGGAACCTCAAAAGCTGTAAATTTGTACTTTAAAACAGTTATTATTTGGTGATAGCATACAGGATAACTGCTTTTGTTAGGATGTAAATTTATGACATGAAATTAATCAAAATGTAGTACTTTAATTTTCCTAACCTGTGGTTTTAAAATGTTTGTTCTTTCAGTAGTTTTCCCATGTTAGAATCAGTTTATATAAAGCAAAATAATACAGTGGACTTCTCAAAACATAATTAACACAATGTGATTTCCAGTGCTTTCTCAAATATTTCATTTCTAACAACAATGGAAATAAATTATGTTTATGAAAACTTAATCTATTTTGTGTTTCTGTAGGCGCTGGTTTTCAATACAGAATAATCAGTTGGTTTACCAGAAAAAATTTAAGGTAGGTGTTAATAAATGAAACCCCAGTGAGTTACCAGTTTCAGTTATTTATCTGTTTTGGTAAACATTGAAGTCTATACATACTCATTTGTGTAAAATTAATGTAATTATTTATTAGTTTTATGTTTGAGCAGGTATAAGAGGACTCTAGGGTGGAAAATATCAACATTTAATTCTTAAAAGCAAAGTGATTTGAATCCTGAGTTCTTAATTCCTTGCTTTGAGATGGATTTTTCTGGGTCACAGGATTGTTTAAAATGTTTTGATAGCTTTTAAATGGTATATATTAGTTGTACATACTTTTGTGGTACATGTGCTATTTTGATACTTGTATACAACGTGTGATGATCAAATCAGGGTAACTGGGGTATCCATCACCTCAAACATTTTTGTCTTAGGAACATTACAAATCTCTTCTCCTAGCTGTTTTGAAATATACAACATACTTTTATTTCTTTATATGTATCTTTGTCTAGTCCATGACAGAAATAACACTGCCATTCCATAGCACTATTTTGAAGATGAAAGAGAGGGTGCCTTTTAAATAATGTCACAATAGGGCCAAAGGTTATAGGACAGAATGGTTAAAAATTACATTAATTAAAATGTAAGCTGAAAGTAATTTAAATAGAACCCCTTAAATTTGTTAATATCGTTTTATATGTTTGTTTTCCTGAACCTTATTTTAAGGATGAGGAAGTTTTATTTATGGGAAAGACATATTGGGATTACATGTGAGTTGAGAATATTAAAATAACTAGAAACAAAAGAATAAATCATTAGTTAATGGATAACTTGCTTTTCACCTAGTTACTTTTTATGAATGATATTCTGTAAACTGCAGATTTCAAATCTCTACTCTTGAGATGACACAATATGAAATTTTACTTGCTTGGTTCTATGGTAGCAGGTTTGTATGACAGAAGCCCTTTAATCAGCTAATTATTAGTTCATGGTTTCTTCTATTCTGATAAACTTGGTTTTGAATTTATATTTTTATTAAACAGTAGAAAGTGATAAAATCTTTCTGATTCTCCTAGGTATTTTAAGAAGTTATAGCTTTCTTTGAGGTATTTAAAACTTGACTGAATAAAAGCTTCTCTTTTGGAGGAAAGTAGCTTTTATTATATGTGAGTGGGGACCAGGAGAGTGAATATAAAAGAAAATGGAAGAAAAGCCACAGAACATTAACATTTATTGAGCATCTACTAAGTATCAAGTGTTGGACCAGTCTCTTTATATGTAAACAATTTCATTTAATCTCTATATAATTTATGAGGTAGATACAGTTATTAACAGGACAAAATTACTTTTATGTCTATATTGATAACCCCTGTTTCTAAAATAAAATATAAATCTTGAAAATTAGACCAGTTATGCCAAGTAATATTTTTAAGTATTTCATTATTGGTAGTATTAAAACCTAAGTGGAAAAATATGGAAATTTGGTTTCCTCACTATAGGATAATCCGACTGTGGTAGTTGAAGACCTCAGGCTTTGCACAGTGAAACATTGTGAAGACATAGAGCGACGATTCTGCTTTGAGGTGGTCTCGCCAACAAAGTAAGTGGTTCTAAAGGATCTGTGATTTGCTTTTATGTTTTTATAGTTTGTCTTAAATAACTTTCCAGAGTAGAGAAATTTGCATTTGTCTGTATCTGTGCTAAAGAGAAAAAAAAGTTTTAAAAATAATTTTCAATAATTAATGGTTACAGATATTATAGTCAGGTATTTATGTAACTTCTACCATTTATCCTATTCTTTAAATTCCATAAAGGTGATTTATGGGCTCATATGAAAGTTTTAGCTATTATGATGAATTGAAATCATATGAGTTTCTTTGATAACTATCATTTTATGTTTGTACCCAGTAGAAAAAAAAATGAGTGTTTCTATATTTATATGGTAAATTTAAGTGGTTTTTTTTTTTTTTAAATATTCAGTGATGGGTTATTTGTTTTTAAGAGATAATTTGTTTCATTGGCACCTTAATTTCTTCGTTAACATACTTTGCCCTAAAGATACATGAAATAAAACCTTCTTTCAACAAATTATATATATTTTTGGCTAGAAAATTATTAAATAGCAAAGTGGAAAAAATATAAAGCTTATAGGGTGTTTTTGGCATTAACTTAGTGTCTGAGAAAACAATATGTTATTTCCTTTTAGAAGTTGCATGCTCCAGGCAGATTCCGAAAAGCTGCGCCAGGCATGGATTAAGGCTGTTCAGACCAGTATTGCTACTGCTTATAGAGAGAAGGGTGATGAATCAGAGGTTAGTAGAGGTATTAGCAATACCAGATAATATATTGCCAAAATTCTTGATTTTAGTTGCAACGTTATATGACTGTATGTAGCATCGTTTGTTATGGAAGATGATTTTATGTAATTGAGTTTTATTTTTAAAATCTGGATTTAATTTCTTTTTTGTTTATTTCTCTTTATTTCACTTACCATTTTATTTCAGTATTTGTGAATCTATGTTTAATATTTGAATATATGAACCAGATCGGAATAAGGTATTTCCCTGTTAGTGTTTTTCCCCAAAAGTATTGTGCCATTTTAGTTAATTATAAAATAAAATAATGATCATGAAAGGTGTTTAAAACTGAATGAAAGCAAAAAAGGGAAGCATAATATTGTCTCTTAGGTGAAGGCCCCTTAAAAATATAAGGTGAATGTGGGAACTTAGGTCATAGTCTGGCCTCAGTTTCTCAAAGAGCTTACCAAGAAAGTCTTTTGGGCAACGCAGTGAGTGAGTAAATGGGTCCTGAGAAATGGAACTCAGCACTTTTGGGTCATCTGGCAAGACTGTGGCATAGGCTTAGTGATAGATAATTGTTGGGAGTATGGTTAGGGGGATCGACTGCTCTCTAAATTGTATTCCAAAACTTACCGTGGCCAACTTCCAGCTCCCAAATATAGATCATAGATCAAAGCAGAACCTTTTCAGGCATGGGATTATGGGGGGACGACTAACTTGATCCAAGCAGAAAGGCTTAGAGATGAAAGTAGGAATTTGATCAGTAGCCACGTTTGCGTGAACTTGTCTGGGTACAAATGATGGGAACATTGACGAAGGGCATGTCAGCAAAGATAGCCCTCAATACGTCTGTCTCTAGAATCACACTTCTCCAATCTGGACCAGTTGCTCCCTAAGCCTGCAGCATGGCTGTCAGTCTGGGATTTCCTTACAAAATCATTTCTGGAGTTTCTTCTCTTTCCTGTATCCCATATCTTTCTCCTTCTTGGCTTAAGGAAAACTTAAGTACTTTCTCTAGTAGCTTCCTGAAAATGAGGCATTTGTGATTCCATGCATATCTGAAAAGGTCTTGGTTCTGTCCTCATATTTGATTGGTAGTTTGGTTGGATATTTTAAGATTGGAAATAATCTTGAGAATTTTAACAGCATTGTTTGTTTTTTAGTTTCCAGTGTTGATGTTGAAGCTTTTCTTATTAATGACCTGCTGTATTTCTCCTCTCCAGTTGCTCTGTATTTTCTGGATTGGTATTATGATTTTCTTATTTTTGTGTCCGTGTGTGTTGTTTTGCTCTACTTTCTGGGAAATCTTCTCAGTTAATCTTCCAAGTCTTCTATTGAATATTTCAGTTCTGCTAGCACATACTTAATTTCCAAGAGCTGTGTTTGTTCACTAAATGTTTACAGATATAGACCTGTTCTTTTTTCGTGGAATCAGTGTTAGAGCTGTGGATCTTAACCATCATTGCATACTATGATGTCACCACACAGGGAGCTTGAAAAACCCCCATTGCTTAGGTACCACCCCAGAACACTTGAATGGAGTTGGGCATCAGTACTTTCACAAGCTTCCTGGGTTAGTTCCATAAACAACCAATGTTGAGAGCTATTGCGTTAGAGGCTTCCTTTGGCTATCTCATCATAAGTGTTAGGCACTAAAAACTTCTTTGGAAACTCTGAGCACAAAATTAGGACTTTGTTGACTGTGGCCTTTGTCTAAGTCTGGACCATTTGTTGAGGAACAACCATCGTCAGGGTCTTTTTGAGTCTTTTCGGCTGATGTGATTTCCCAGAGAAGACTCATTGATCTCCTGCATAGCTATGAGGGATTGGTGGGGAGCTAAGCACTGGGTATCTTAGCATATTGTATGTATATGTTCATTTAATCCTCTGGCTTCCACCTTTCAGGTGAAGTCGATTCAGAGACTCTGTTTTAATCCTCCAGAGAATAACTTCCAGTCATTGTGTTTGTGTAGAGAGCAGTCATCCCCTAGTGGCATGGAGATGGGGGGCAGCGACAGTAGGATTGAACTGTCCTGCTTAAACAATCATTCCTCCTATTAATACTTTCGTGAATTGGTGTCATATTCAGTGCTGTGTTCCTTGAAGTGGCTGACCCAAGTTTTGCTGTGTTTGTGTACTTAGTTCTCTAATTTGGTGCAAAAACATTAGCATATAGAGAAAACTTGGGAATGAACCAACATGATTTCTGTAATATAATATTGATATTCTTTCCTTACATAATTGCTAATTCCCATTATCGAACATATTCTGGTAAAACAAATATTTCTTTCTTAAAATTTCGGAATAATCCTAAACTTACAGGGAAGTTTTTTTTTTTTTTTTTTTTTTTTTTTTTTTTGAGATGGAGTCTCACTCCATTGCCCAGGCTGGTGTGCAGGGGCACGGTCTCAGCTCACTGCAACTTCCACCTCCCAGGTTCAAGCGATTCTGCTGCCTCAGCCTCCCTAGTAGCTAGGATTACAGGCATGTACCACCATGCCCGGCTAATTTTTTTTTGTATTTTTAGTAGAGACAGGGTTTCACCATATTGGCCAGGCTGCTCTCGAACTCCTGACCTTGTGATCCACTCACCTCGGCTTCCCAAAGTGCTGAGATTACAGGCATGAGCTACTTTGCCTGACCTGAAATGTTTTTAAACCAGAAGACTTTTTATAGACCATATCTGTCATTGTTTAGGATCTAAGTACCACATCTTTGTATTCGGTCATTATGGCCATGTAGCAGGATGGCGGGGAGACAGAGTCTTGCCCTGTTTCCCAGGCTGGAATGCAGTGGTGTGATCATAGTTCACTGCAGCCTTGACCTCCTGGGCTCAAGCAGTCCTCCTACCTCAGTCTCCTGAGTAGCTGGGACCACAGGTGCTTACCACCATGTCTAGCTTATTTGTTTGTATGTATGTATGTATTTATGTACATATGATGGAGTCTCACTCTGTCACCCAGGCTGGAGTACGGTGTCATGATCTTGGCTCACTGCAACCTCTGCCTCCTGGGTTTAAGTGATTCTCATGCCTCAGCCTTCTGAGTAGCTGGGACCACAGGTGTGCACCACCATGCCTAGCTAATTTGTATGTATGTATGTATTTATGTACATATGATGGAGTCTCACTCTGTCACCCAGGCTGGAGTGCGGTGGCATGATCTTGGCTTACTACAATAGCCCCCTCCCGGGTTTAAGCAATTCTCATGCCTCAGCCTTCTGAGTAGCTGGGACCACAGGTGTGCATCACCATGCCTAGCTAATTTGTATGTTTGTATGTATGTATGTATTTACGCTCATATGACGGAGTCTCACTCTGTCACCCAGGTTGGAGTCTCACTCTTGTCAACATGATCTTGGCTCACTGCAACCTCCGTTTCCTGGGTTTAAGCTATTCTCATGTCTCAGCCTCCTGAGTAGCTGGGATCACAGGTGTGCGCCACCACGCCCAGCTAATTTTTTTGTATTTTTAGTAGAGACAGGGTTTCACTGTGTTGGCCAGGCTGGTCTTGAACTCCTGGCCTAAAGTGATCCACCCGCCTCAGCCTCCCAAAGTGTTGGGATTACAGACATGAGCCATTGTGCCCAGACATATTCTTTTTTAGAGACAGGCTCTTGCTCTGTTGCCCAGGCTGATCTTGAACACCTGGACCCAAGTGGTCCTCCCGCTTCAGCTTCCTAAAGTGCTGGGATTACAGGGGTGACACCGCTCTCGGCCAAAAAATTAACTTTTTGTTAATCAGCCATCTTTTGCTTTTCTTCTCTTTTACCTAATATCCCTTGAAGTTTTAAACATTGTATGTTCTATATTTGATTCACTCTGTAGTTATAATTTTGTAGTTGATCTCTTCTTTACTATTTATATAAGCTCATACCTTTCCTAGTTACTCACTGCAGTAATTAACTTGCCTTATCCCTGAGAGGTCTGAAAAAAAAAACAATGACTAGCTTAAAGTTTATTGAACGCCTTGGAAAAGTGTGGTATAAAACAATAATATTTATTTCATTCTTGAGTTTGAATAATCCCTTACCTATTTCCTCTGTCTCCACCCTGCATGTTAGACTAGTGTTCCCTTTCTGTCTTCATCTTTTGTACATATGTTCATTGTGTCATTTATTATATATAATTTTAAATGTTTACACGTTTCTCCCCACTGGAATAAAAGCTCACTGATGGAAGAACCTACATCTTTTTATCCTTGAATTTCTAGCTAGACTATTGCCTTGCTTATGCCTGTAACAGGCCTTTAATTTATTGATTGGAAGCTTTAGTTTGGAGCATGTAGTGTGCAACAAAGTATTTCAATCTTTTTTTTTTTTAAAAACAAGTAATTCTTAATTCTTTTAGAAGCTGGATAAGAAATCATCTCCATCCACAGGAAGCCTAGATTCTGGAAATGAGTCCAAAGAGAAATTATTGAAAGGAGAAAGTGCGCTTCAGCGGGTCCAGTGTATCCCTGGCAATGCCAGCTGTTGTGACTGTGGCCTGGCAGATCCACGGTGGGCCAGCATCAACCTGGGCATCACCTTGTGTATCGAGTGCTCCGGAATTCACCGGTGGGTAGGCCTGCCCAGGATGAGAATTTCTTCTTTTGGATAAACACAGATAGAAATGGTTGTTTCACTTGTTAGTTGCCCTTTTCCACTTCCCTAATTTAATCACCAGTTTGTATCTTTGTACCTTTTAAGAAGTAGTTAAAATCCTGGTTTGTAAAAGCTGTTGAGGACTTTGGTTCATCATTCATTATTAAACAGAAGATCTGTGCCTATATGTGTATGCCGAGGGCTTTATTAGAGCCTGTGTCACGTTAAAACAGAACTTGCGCAAATACGCAAACAGAGACTTGATAGTAATGCAGTCTTCTTTTTTCCACTTAGGAGCCTTGGGGTTCATTTTTCAAAAGTACGATCTTTAACTTTAGACACCTGGGAGCCAGAACTTTTAAAGGTAAAAAAAATTTTTGCTTTAAAATATTTCATATTTTCACATGAAAGTGAAGATTTTAGAATCTTGGTTTACAAATGTGTGAGTTCTTCATGCTACCAATGTATGCTAGCTAAATTGTATTGAAACACATCTGAGGCTATTTTGGCAAATCTGGTGTTTTCATTGTAAGTTTTAAAAATGGCTACATTTGGCTGGGTGCGGTGGCTCACGCCTGTAATCCCAGCACTTTAGGAAGCCGAGGCGGGCGGATCATGAGGTCAGGAGATCGAGACCATCCTGGCTAACACGGTGAAACCCCGTCTCTACTAAAAAATACAAAAAATTAGCCAGGCGTGGTGGCGGGTGCCTGTAGTCCTAGCTACTCAGGAGGCTGAGGCAGGAGAATGGCGTGAACCCGGGAGGCAGAGCTTGCAGTGAGCCGAGATCGCGCCACTGCACTCCAGCCTGGGTAACAGAGAGACTCCGTCTCAAAAAAGAAAAAGAAAAAAAGAAAAAAAAAAGGCTATATTTATATATAGCACTCTTAACTCCAGGTTAGTTCACTGTTCTTGTTTTCCTTGAGACAAGGTCTTCGCTCCCTTGTGCAGGCTGTGTAGTGGCACCATCACAGCTTACTGCAGCCGGGACTTCCTTGGCTCAAAGAATCCTCGTGCTGCAGACCCCCCAAGCAATTGACACCACAGATGCATGCCACCATGCCTGGCTAATTTTTGTATTTTTCGTAGAGACATGGTTTCACCATGTTGCCCAGACTGGCCTTGTACTCCTGGGCTCAAGCAGTCCATCTACCTCGGCCTCCCAAAGTGCTGGGACTACAGGTGTGAGCCACTACCCTTGGCCCAGTTCAGATTCTATGCCTTAATTTTAATCTTTTCTGATTAGATTCTTTTTAAATATATAAGAGGTCTATTGCTATACTAAACTTCATAATGGATTAGAAAAGCTTTTGACACCATTGGGTTGTTTCAGCATACGATGATTTGCAAATTTATATTTGTCAGGTTAGGAGTCATCATACCAAGTCTTCCTTTTTTCCCTGTGTCTAAGAATTTATATCTATGAAAATGTCATAAATAATTTTAGACCACTACCGGTTTCTGATAAGATTTACAAAATTCGAAATAGTAGTATAATCCTTTTAATTCCTGCCATCTAGTTTACCATATTGTAGAAAATAGATGAGTTTAAGGGTTGGAGTATATGCTCATTTGTTTCTGTCTGAAATCCTGTGGCCGGGTGCGGTGGCTCATGCCTGTAATCCCAGCACTTTGGGAGGCCAAGGTGGGCAGATCACTTGAGGTCAGGAGTTTGAAACCAGCCTCGCCAACATGGTGAAACTGTCTCTATTAAAAATACAAAAATTAGCCAGGCGTGGTGGCACACACCTGTAGTCCCAGCTACTCGAGAGGCTGAGGCAGGAGAATTGCTTGAATCCAGGAGGCAGAGGTTGCAGTGAGCCGAGATCGCACCACTGCACTCCGGCCTGGGCAACAGAGGAAGACTGTGTCTCAAAAAAAAAAAAAAAAAAAAGAAAAAAAAAGAAAAAAGAAAGACGGAAAGTAGATACTAATTCCCATTCTTTTTAAAATAGAATGTTTTTAATTTTTTTTGAAATTCACTCATTTTTATAAGAATATTTTTCAAATTTTAATCGTAGTATATTGTGAATTTATTTAGTGTAGAGTAGAAAATGTGTGCCTAACTCTTGATATTTTTTCCAAATTCTCTCTTTTTTTTGAGAGGGAGTCTCGCTGTGTCGCCCAAGCTGGAGTGCAGTGGCGCGATCTTGACTCACTGCAAGCTCCACCTCCTGGGTTCACACCATTCTCCTCCCTCAGCCTCCTGAGTATCTGAGACTACAGGTGCCCACCACCACACCCAGCTAATTTTTTGTATTTTTAGTAGAGATGGAGTTTCACCGTCTTAGCCAGGTTGGTCTCGATCTCCTGACCTCGTGATCCACCCGCCTTGGCCTCCCAAAGTGCTGGGATTACAGGCGTGAGCCACCGCGCCCGGCCTTTTTTTTTTTTTTGAGACGGAGTCTCACTTTGTCACCCAGGCTGGAGTGCAGTGGTGCAATCTCGGCTCACTGCAACCTCTGTCTCCTGGGTTGGAACAATTCTTGTGCCTCAGCCTCCCAAGTAATTTTTTTTTTTTTTGTATTTTTTGTAGAGACGGGGTATTGCCATGTTGCAAAGGCTGTTCTTGAACTCCTGGCCTCAAGTGATCTGCCTGCCTCGGCCTCCCAAAGTGCTGGGATTACAGGCATGAGCCACCACACGCAGCCAGTTTTTCCAAATCCGTAACCACCTTTCTTAGCATCAGTAATTGAAAAATCCTTTCCTTTCCCATCATTTTCTTATTTTTCCTTTGCCTTACATTAAATTTCTTGTAAATAAGGTTGATTTCTGTGCTACTAGTCTGATGCAGTGATGTCTCACAGTACCAGTGCAGATTTTAAAGAAGACTTTATATATAATAATTAGTATCTTTACTTTAAAAATGAAAAATATGCTGTATAAAACTAGAAGTAATAATTGCTCAAAGAAGGAATTAGCACATTTAAGATTTTTAAGAGGTAGCTGGGCTATGGGAAGAGGGGAAAGAAAGTGACAGGGAGAGATAGTAGAAACAATAAATGGAAGGCTGGGCGCAGTGGCTGACGCCTATAATCCCAGCACTTTGGGAGGCTGAGGCAGGTGGATCACCTGAGGTCCGGAGTTCAAGACCAGCCTGACCAACATGGAGAAACCCCATCTCTACCAAAAATACAAAATTAGCCAGGCGTGGTGGTGCATGCTTGTAATCCCAGCTACTTGGGAGGCTGAGGCAGGAGAATTGCTTGAACCCAGGAGGCAGAGGTTGCAGTGAGCCGAGATTGTGCCATTGCACTCCAGCCTGGGCAACAAGAGGGAAACTCCATCTCAAAAAAAAAAGGAATAAATGGAAATGACAGAAGAGGGATGTCATAGAAATAATGGGACCTCAAAAGGGCTCATGATTAAGGAAAAGGAGAGAGGCTGGTGTGGTAGCTCATGCCTGTAATCCTAGCACTTTGAGAGGTCGAGGTGGGCAGATCATCCTTGATGTTAGGTGTTTGAGACCAGCCTGGCCAACATAGTGAAACCCTGTCTCTACTACAAATACAAAAACTAGCTGGGTGTGGTGGTGGCCATCTGTAATCCCAGTTACTCGGGAGGTTGAGGCCGGAGAATCACTTGAACCTGGGACGTGGAAGTTGCAGTGGGCCAAGATCATGCCACTGCACTACCGCCTAGGTGATGGAGTGAGACTCTGTCTCAAAAAAAAAAAAAAAAAAAAAGAGGAGAGAAAGGGAAACCATTCTCTTGCCTATGAGAGTGCTCTTCCCAGACTTCACTCCTGTTGTTGGGTCCAGAGAGCATTGTAATCCTCTTGTTATCTCATCCCAGGCCTTGCCTGCTCCCACATCTCACCTGTCCCAACACTTTAACCTCTATTCTCTACATAGTGGTAATGTTATCTTAATGTGTATTAGTGTCCCTTTTACCTACGTATGATTTTTCAGGGAAATGGTTTGGGTGATCTGCTCTTGGGAAAACTGTTTGTTTTTGTGGTCAAGCCTGGAATTGGGCATAACTAGAAGCAATAAGATTAGCTAAGAAGGTACAGATATAATTTATTAGTGAGGCAAGGAGAGCTTGAACAGAATTAAAGAGGTGAGTAACAGATGGAAAGGAAAATCTAAAAGAATTTGGAACATACAACTAGGTGTTGTTTGTTATCTGAAGACAGAACCCAACCCAAAAAGAGGTAAAAGTTCAAAAATAATTACCAGAAAGTTGTAAATTTGATAGATTTGCATATTTCTAGGAACTAGATGTGAAAACTGAAAAGAATAGATACTTAATGTTTAACTTACTGTCCTAACACTGGCTAGTACTTACTGCACCTTACTGTGTAGATAATGCTTTGTTGTCATACTTCTTGCCTTTCTGTGGACATAGAGATAGATACAATAGCTGTGATATGTGGCTAGATAGATACATAGATAAACTTGTAGAGAGAGAGAATGACTCTGGTGGGGGTGATAATCTTCTAGCAGAGGTAATTTGGTGAAGAACAGCAAGGTGATAATATTACTCTCAGTTCTTGTCTCATTTTGTTTTAACATAAAACTTCTTTGTAGAATAAGCATCTGCAGAATGTGTAAGGGGATTAGTTAACTGTACTTGCTTAAAGGATTTTTAAATTTTAGCTTATTTTAAGGTCTTTAATGTATAGCTTATTTTTCTATTTTTTTTTGCCAAACAGCTTATGTGTGAGTTGGGGAATGATGTTATAAATCGAGTTTATGAAGCTAATGTGGAAAAAATGGGAATAAAGAAACCCCAACCAGGACAAAGGTACTATTTCAGTTGTTTTTTCCCCCTAATTAGGAATATAGCTATGATTTTATTTCACTGTAGTAATTGATATATAACATTGAGACAAAGTGTTTAGAAGCAGTCATTACCACTTCTGTTCGAATGTTGGCTATCTCTTTCTTCGGTATGTTAATTAGATAATTATATTGTATTGAACAGATAATCAATTATAGTCTTTAGAGTAGAAAGATCTTAAAAATTAGGGCTCTGCATAGGAATGTAGAAACCCTTAACAGTCAGTTAAAGTAGACCAAAGTTCTGTCCATGGTAGCATTCAAAAAGGGATAATCTATTCATTACTGTCTCTAAGGATCAAGTTTCTGTTAACCTACAGTGAATAATTTTACATTTTTCATACTTAATTTAGCAAAGATTTGTTAATCACATAGTTTATGCATGGCATTATAATATTGAAGAACTAAAGATGCAAAGTGTGCCTCTGAAAGGGGGAGAGTACTTGATTGCTGTGTTTGAAATTATTCTTCCAATTCTGTATAAGGAGGGCTCATTGAATGAAGTGGCTAAGAGTTGGTACCTTCAAAGCACATGATTTTTGTTGTTGATACTGATTTCTGTCTGAGTCTTCATGTATGACCAATTGTATTTGAAAGTTATTGCTGTCTAAACCAATACCATTTAAATCAGAATCTTAATTATTTACTAAAACAAGACTGAGTTATTTCAGACCTTGAAATAGCCTTCTATTTTAACCAAAGACCTAAACTTTTTAAGAGGATATAAGTAAAAAGTATAGAACAGATATGGCATTTTATAATGGTATCATAAGTTACAAGTTTATTTTATTTCTTAAATTAATAATGCTATATGTTGTTTTAAAGTAGTCTTATGAAAAATAGCCATCAATAGTGCTCGTTCAGTATGTGAAATTATTTATTTGAGTAAACATGAAAATAAAGTTACTTTCTATAAATTTTTAAGTTTTTTTTTTTCTGGTGATGTTTTCTACTCTGCAAAAAGCATGAGGGCAGTATAGAAATGAATAGCACAGAAATTAAGAGAAGGGAAGAGTAGCATGTTAATACTAGTGATTTTTCAGTTAGGTTACTGTTTGTATTTCACTTGAGTGTGAAATCATAGTTCATTAGGTATTTGGAAGGGAAACATAATATATATATGTATAATGTCACAGATTCAGTTTTAACCAGTATTACATTCAGTGACTTTGTTTGAATATGTTCAGTATATAATGGCTTGTTGTGGTATTAGCCATGCTGAGAGATTAAGCAAAACATCATGACATTTTTATGTCTGTCAGACAGGAGAAGGAGGCATATATCAGAGCAAAATATGTGGAGAGGAAATTTGTGGATAAATATTCTATATCATTATCACCTCCTGAGCAGCAAAAAAAGTTTGTCTCTAAAAGTTCTGAAGAAAAGAGGCTGAGCATTTCTAAATTTGGGCCAGGGGACCAAGTCAGAGCATCTGCCCAAAGTTCAGGTATGGCAAACTTTCTTACTGTGTCTATAGCTATTTTCTTAAGCTCAAATCACTTTTATAATCCCTGAACTAATAGCCATTGTCGTTTTTTTTAATGTTAAAAACCTGTTCCCTTCTACATATTCTAAGAAAAACTGAATTTCTGTGTCTTTAAAATAGTTAACTTTAAACAATGCCATAATATTTCACCTTTCTAGGTAATGTGTATATTCTAAGGAATAAAACTGCTTAAAATGCAAGGGGAGATGGGAATTATAAACCTGACATTTCAAAAGCCCTAAGTATCTGATTAACTACCTGATTTCCTTCCTATTTTTTCCTCCTAAATTTTTTCCCAGTAACGTTTTTTCCTGCCCTTTTCCCTTCTTATGGCCTGCTTTGTGCTTTGCTAACTTGCATGTCCCCAGTGATTGCTGTAAATAGCGACGAGGCCAGGCGGGAGTCTCTGTTTTGTCCTGATGAGCTAGATTCACTCTTCTCCTACTTTGATACTTCTTCAAAACTGCGTAGTAGTAAGTACTACTCTTGTGGAGCATTCCAAGTCTGTGCCAGTGGTCATTGTGCGGTGTGGCCATTTCTCTAGATGTTACCCATTGTCTCAGAATTACACGTTACTTACAGTCATATAATAAATTAAGCTCTTTACTACCCCTGACATATTATGGAGTAATGAGATGTGTTAAACTCTGAAAATAAGTTTATTTTCAGGTTTTATGATTGATTTATATCTCGATAAGCTAAGTGTTCAAAAGGCTTAAAATTATATTAAATGCATTCTCCTTGTGGTGCCTGAGTTCATGTTGATGTGTAAGAGCTCATTTTAAAACCTTGTTTGTGGGAGATTGTTTTCTAAATGGCATGAACTTTAATCATTAGTTAATTTTTCTTTAAAACAGTCAGAAGTAATGACAGTGGAATTCAGCAGAGCTCTGATGATGGAAGAGAATCTTTACCCTCCACGGTGTCAGCCAATAGTTTATATGAGCCTGGTGAGTTCTGATGAAACTCAATGTTAATTGGTTTTGTTTGCTGGAAAGTGCATGTGGTAAATGTTTACCTTTGATTAAAAAAAAAATTATATATATATATATATATATAATTTTTTTTTTTTTTTTCTTCTTTTTTTTTTGAGATGGAGTTTCACTCTTACTGCCCAGGCTGGAGTGCAGCGGTACGATCTTGGCTCACTGCAACCTCCGCCTTCCAGTTTCAAGTGATTCTCCTGCCTCAGCCTCCCGAGTAGCTGGGATTACAGGCGCCCACCACCACGCCCAGCTAATTTTTGTGTTTTTAGTAGGGACGAGGTTTCACCACATTGGCCAGGCTGGTCTCGAACTCCTGACCTTGTGATCCACCAACCTCGGCCTCCCAAAGTGCTGGGATTTGAGCCACCGTGCCCGGCCCTACTCTTGATTAAATATTTTAAAGGAAGGGGTTAGTCTTTTAGAAGGTAACTAGGGGAGGAGTAATACTCTTAAATGAGAAAGCAGCGATTTCTTCATATTTGGAAATTCTGTCCTAGCTATATATTGTTTATACTTTTTAAAATTTTTATTTATTTATTTTTTTGAGATGGAGTCTTGCTCTGTCACCCAGGATGGAGTACAGTGGTGCGATCTTCGCTTACTGCAAGCCCCACCTCCCGGGTTCATGCCATTCCCCTGCCTCAGCCTCCCGAGTAGCTGGGACTACAGATGCCCACCACCATGCCTGGCTAATTTTTTTTTTTTGTATTTTTAGTAGAGGTGGGGTTTCACCATGTTAGCCAGGATGGTCTCAATCTCCTGACCTCGTGATCCACCCGCCTCGGCCTCCCAAAGTGCTGGGATTGCAGGCGCGAGCCACCGAGGCTGCCCTACATTTTATTTTTTATTTTGAGTCTCGCTCTGTTGTCCTGGCTGGAGTGCAATGGCATGATCTTGGCTCACTGCAGCCTCTACCTTCTGTTCACGCAGTTCTCCTACTCAGCCTCCCAAGTAGCTGGGTTACAGGTGTGTGCCACCATGCCCAGCTAATTTTTGTATTTTTAGTAGAGATGGGGTTTCACCATGTTGGCCAGGCTGGTCTTGAACTCCTGACTTCAAGTGATCCACCTCTCTCAGCCTCCGAAAGTGCTGGGATTATAGGCGTCAGCCAGCACACCTGATGCTTAGTTGTACATTCTTCCAAGCCTAATGGTATGTGCTAAAAGTGCCTTACCAATTGCCAAGGATAATTTTTAATCCACATGAACTGTCTTATTATCGTTTATCTTTCCTTGTGGCTGTCCTATCAGGAGAAAGAGATCAGCAACTCCCTCCCCATTAGATTTTTCTTTTGACTTGTGCTTTAAACCCTTGTCCCCTCCTCCATGATTTCAGTGATTTTGGTCCTGCAGAGTACTCAGGGGAGTCAGCACTCTTCAAATTATTTGAAGTGCTTGTAGTGCCAATTGGGATGGTATTGGACCATCCTAGGAATGAAGTGAGGTTTGGTCTAGTAGTAAAAGTTTTTATGGATTCTTGCTGCTTCTTAAGTCCCAACATTTAGGAATATACTCAATTTTAATGTAGTACAGAGTAATTAACCTATCCCTTGGATACTGGCAAGAACAGAAAGGCCTGGCATATCAGTGATTGTCTTTATAGAAGAAGAAGGTTGAATGTTGGGGAATAGCTATGTGAAAATCTCCCATAAGCTCATTATGATAGATTAATGGTTTCTTATGTCATAGCTTTATTTTTTAAAAATTGCAATAAAATGCACATAAAATTTATCATCTTAACTTTTTTTTTTTTTTTTTTTTTGAGACTGAGTCTCGCTCTATTGCTCAGGCTGGAGTGCAGTGGTGCAATCTCAGCTCACTGCAACCTCTGCCTCCCGGGTTCAAGTGATTCTCGTCCCTCAGTCTCCCAGGTAGATGGGATTACAGGTGCCCGCTACCATGCCTGGTTAATTTTTGTATTTTTAGTAAAGACGAGGTTTCACCATGTTGGCCAGGCTAGTTTCAAACTCCTGACCTCAAGTGATCCACCCCCCTCGGCCTCCCAAAGTGCTGGGATTGCAGGCGTGAGCCACCGTGCCTGGCCCATCTTAACCATTTTTAAGTGTACAGTTTAGTGGCATTAAGTATATTCCCATTAGTGTGCTATCTTTACTGCCATTCATCCACAGAACTCTTTTTATCTTGCAAAACTGAAACTCTACCTATTAAATAATTTTTTCTTTTTCTGCCAAGAGCTCATTTTTATTGATGTGTATGTGTTTGCTTTTCAGAAGGAGAAAGGCAAGATTCTTCTATGTTTCTTGACTCGAAACATCTTAATCCAGGACTTCAGCTTTATAGGGCGTCATATGAAAAAAACCTTCCTAAAATGGCTGAGGCTTTGGCTCATGGTGCAGACGTGAACTGGGCCAATTCAGAGGAAAACAAAGCGACACCACTTATTCAGGCTGTATTAGGGGTATGCGTTTATACAATGACATTTTCAGTAGCAATCAAATATTTAAAAAAAATCATAATATGTTCTGAACTGGCTTTAGTATTGTCTTTGCTTCAAGAGATGGGTTAGAAAATAGAAGGAACCTCTGTGCTATTAATAGTAGTGGTTTCTGAGCACCACTTCGGTTGTTTCAAGTTTTTTTGCAGTGGAAGAGAATTCCGATAATGAAAGTATATAATGTGTTTTGCTAGTTCACAAACTGCAAATGAATCTCTATTAGAATTAGTTCTTGGGAAGAAAATAATATAATTTATAATTTCTCTGCCTTGGCTGAGGGATATTTTTTGTTTTGGAGAGAAGGAAATGGAAATGCTATTTGAGTAACGAAAACCAATTGTTTTTAAAAAGAAATGTATTGTTGTTTCTTGTTATTTGCTTTTGTCTATAGTTATCCTCTTTTTTCCTTTAAGGGCTCTTTGGTGACGTGTGAGTTCCTCCTACAGAATGGTGCTAATGTCAACCAAAGAGATGTCCAAGGGCGGGGACCATTGCACCATGCCACCGTCTTAGGGCACACAGGGTAACTGCAGTGCTTTCATATTTAAGGAGACTTTATTTGAAAAATTATTTTGAATTAATGTTTTAGTTTTTCTTAGGTTAAAGTTTTCAGGTAGTGTTTGTAAAGAGATGTGTTCCATGACTTATTTTGTCACGATGGAATTTGAAAGTTAAAAAAAATCTCTTTCAGAAAAAGCTACTATTGGTTTTCAGATACAAAAATTTCAAGGCTTACTTTGACCTTAACTTGTCATTAAATAGATCAGTTTTAGTACTTAACTTTCTCTGTTATTAAAATTGTGATTTTGTCAGACAACTTAAGCCTGTGTTTGTGTTTATGTATGTATGTACATATACATTATTTCCATAGCATGCACACACATAACCTATTTAAAGATAATTTGATGACTTTGTAATTTTTAGTTTTTTCCACAGGGTAGCTAAAGTCAAATTCTAAACTAAATTCTTACTTTGGGTTGTTGACATTGTGTCTTCTGGAGCGATAGTAAGATTCACAGAACAATAAAGCCTTGAAAATGGACTTTCTATTATTAGGAAGTATACATGAAAGAAAATGCTGGCTTTATGTGAAAAATTTGTGTCTTAAACGCTTGTTTCTTAATAAGATATCTCAGGGTATCCGATTATTATGTGGTGGATAAGCAAGAAGCTCTTATTTTGAAATATTTTTAAAATAGCATCTTCATTTATTTAGAGACAGGGTCTCGCCCTGTTGCCTAGGCAGGAGTGCACTGGTGCAATCATAGCTCACTACAGCCTTGAACTCCTAGGCTCAAGCGATCCTCCCCTAGTAGCTTGGGTTATAGGTGTGAGCCACTGTGTCTGGCTATTTTTATTTATTTATTTATTTATTTATTATTTATTTATTTATTTATTTATTTATTTATTTATTTTGAGATAAAGTCTTGCTCTGTCACCCAGGCTGGAGTGCAGTAGCACGATCTCAGCTCACTGCAACCTCCGCCTCCTGGGTTCAAGCGATTCTCCTGCCTTAGCCCCCTGAGTAGCTGGGATTGTAGGTGTGCACCACCATGCCTGGCTAATTTTTTTGTATTTTTAGTAGAGACGAGGTTTCATCATGTTGGCCAGGCTGGTCTTGAACTCCTGACCTCAGGTGATCCACCTGCCTCAGCCTCCCAAAATGCTGGGATTACAGGTATGAGCCACTGCGCACGGCCATGTCTGGCTATTTTTATCATGGCTTGTTTTCTTCTATCAGCAAAGAGATTCAGTCAGATAACTTCATCGTTTAAACTTTCTACACTTAAAAAAGGTAGTATTTAAGGTAGTACTTAACTCATCCTTTGTATTTTCTTCTTTTTTTTTAAGAGATGGGAGTCTCACTATGTTGCTCACGTTGGAGTGTGGTGACTGTTCATAGGCACATTCATAGCTCACTACAGCCTTGAATTCTGGGGCTCAGGATCTTCATGCCTCAGCTTCCCAAGTGGCTGGGACTACAGGCATGCCCTGCCACTCCCGGCTAATTTTTAAATTTTTTTTAGAGACATTTTGCTATGTTGCTCAGGCTGGTCTTGAACTTCTGACCTCAAGTGATTCCCCCTACCTCTGCCTTCTGAGTAGCTGAGATTACAGGTGCTTACCTTGCCCAGCCATTATTTTCTTCTTAAACTATCAAAATTCTTTCCATTTTATTTCATAGACTCCATTTAGTTATTCTTTCATATTTTAGATTTCTTTTTCAGTTTATTCAAGTAATGAATATTTGCAAGTACAGCAAGCAGATTACTTCCCATTCTTTGCTGTTGTATTATTATTATGAAGTTTACATTGCCTTGGCTTTCTTCATTTTCAAATAATGACCTTGAGTGATCTTTTTTTCATTTAGGTTTATAGATACCTGTGCACATGTTTTTATGATATTCTTTTTTTTTTTTTTTTTGAGACGGAGTCTTGCTCTCGCCCAGGCTGGAGTGCAGTGGTGTGATCTCGGCTCACTGCAAGCTCCGCCTCCCGGGTTCACGCCATTCTCCTGCCTCAGCCTCCTGTGTAGCTGGGACTACAGGCGTCCGCCACCACACCCGGCTATGTTTTTTTTTTTTTAATTTTAGTAGAGACGGGGTTTCACCTTGTTAGCCAGGATGGTCTCGATCTCCTGACTTTGTGATCCGCACACCTTGGCCTCCCAAAGTGCTGGGATTACAGGCGTGAGCCACCACGTCTGGCCTTTTTATGATATTCTTTGAGGGTAGGGACCACAACTTATATATCCACCATGCTATCTATATAGCACCAGATTAAATAAGATAATGTATGCAAAAATACCTTGAGACTTGTGAAATGTTGATCTTGGTAAGTTTTTGTTAGTAGAGTTAGTGTTCAGTTAATATTTGTAGAATGAATCAAGAATTTCCTAATGAAAATGTTACTTAAGTAGTACTTTTTTTTTTTAAGGTGAATACTAATTTTTTTTTCTTATCGACAATATCTCAAAAATGCTGTGTTCTTAAACAGGCAGGTATGTTTATTCCTAAAACGAGGTGCCAATCAACATGCCACTGATGAAGAAGGGAAAGACCCTTTGAGCATAGCTGTGGAAGCAGCCAATGCTGATATAGTCACCTTGTAAGTACTTCCTTTTTACTTGACTATTTCCATACAGTGAATTACAGTTGTCCCTCGGTTATCCACAGTGAATTAGTTCCAGGACCCTGTGGATACCAACATCCACATATGCTCATGTCCCTTATATAAAATGGTATGTATTTACATATAACTTACATACCTCCTCCCATGTACTTTAAATCATCTCTACTTATTATACTTAATACAATGGAAATGCTATCTATGTAGTTGTTATACTATAGTGTTTTGTATTTATATTTATGTATCTATTTTTGAGACCGACTCTCACTCTGTTGCCCAGAGTGGAGTGCACCGGCTCCCTGCAACCTCCACCTCCCAGATTCAAGCCATTCTCCTGCCTCAGCCTCCCTAGTCGCTGGGATTACAGGCGTGATCCACCACAACCTGCTAATTTTTGTATTTTTAGTAGAGATGGGGTTTCACCATGTTGGCCAGGCTGGTCTCGAACTCCTGACCTCAGGTGATCCACCCGCCTCGGCCTCCCAAAGTGCTGGGATTACAGGTGTGAGCCACCGCGCCTGGCCGATTATTTGTATTTTAAAATTGTTGTATGGTTGTTTTTTATTGCCTTTTTTCCCCTGAATATTTTCCACTGGTGATTGGTTGAACCCACAGAGAAGGACAGCGGCCAACTGTACTTGCACACAGTGCTAACAGAGCATTGTGCATTGTGTGAACTTCGAAGTTGGTTGGTATTTACTTTGTGCCATGTACTTCTCTAAGCACATTAAATGTATTAAACACTTTACATGCATGAACTTATTTGGTTCTCACAACAACTCTGAGGAAGATATTGTTAATATTGTCTTCATTTTATAGAAAAAGAAGCCAAGCCATAGATAATTTGAGATTTTAGTAAGTGATGGAGTTGGGATTTGAAACCAAGAATTGTGGCCCTAAAGCCCATGCTCCCCATGTTCTTAGCCATTTATGCTATACTGCCTGATACAGAAACAGAAAACCAGTGACTTCTTCAAAATGGTTTCTTTTTTTTTTTTTTGAGACAGAGTTTTGCTCTTGTTGCCCAGGCTGGAGTGCAATGGCACGATCTCAGCTCAGCAACCTCTGCCTCCCGGGTTCAAGCGATTCTCCCTCCTCAGCCTCCTGAGTAGCTGGGATTACACACATGCGCCACCACGCCTGGCTAATTTTGTATTTTTAGTAGATGAGGTTTCTCCATGTTGGTCAGGCTGGTCTTAAACTCCTGACCTCAGGTGATCCACCTGCCTCAGCCTCCCAAAGTGCTAGGATTACAGGCGTGAGTCACCGTGCCCGGCTAAAATGGTTTCTTTATCTCTTTGTATAGTACTAGGGCAGAGGCTGGGATTGTTAGACTAACAGATAATTATTCTACTACCTCGAGAATTAGAGGATTCTCTAATTCTGTAGGCAGGATAGTTGCATTGATATTAGTAATTTGTGAAGTTCCATTACCTTTGGGCAGTGGTAGGAATTTGTGCTTGTTTTTAAAAAGAATTATTCACATAAAGCTAGGTGCTCCCACCCATAATCCAAGCTACTCAGGAGATTGAGGTGGGAGCGTTGCTTGAGCCCAGAAGCTGGAGAAAAGCCTGGGCAACATAGCGAGGCCCTGTCTCTACAAAAAATTAAAAATTAGCCGGGTGTGGTGGCACATGCGTGTAGTCGTAGCTACTTGGGAGGATGAATGAGACCCTGTCTCAAAAAAAAAAAAAATTATTTACGTGAATACTTGATTAATTTTAAGATTAAAATGCATGCTTCTGAATGTTTGAATAAAATGTAATGTGATCTTTTAAATAATTTTGAGGTCTTAATTTGATTTACATCTCAGATCAAAGTAGTTTATTACACATGGAATTCAGAAAATTAATCGTCACCGATACCTTATTATGTAGGAAATCTCAAGCATGTTTTGTATCGTCACTTATTCTTTATCACTTATTCACTTACCCTGGGCTAAATGAAGCCCATAATTGCTTATCCCCCCTCATTGGAGAAGAAATAGGTCCATCCACACTCCTGAGCTCCTACTGAGAATTCTTGACTTGTCATATGTCACCCCTCTGCCAAATAAAATAACAAAACAGCAAAACATACTTTCTCAGATCCTTTCCCCACAGGAGGGGTTACTGTTATTATGGAGGCTATTGCAGGAAAATGTAGAACTCTTAAATCATTACAGATTTACAGTAGAAGAAAGATAAGTTATTAAAGAAAAGATAGGAATGATATAGAGAGACAAGCTCTGCAGGCAGCTTCCCAGGCAATACCTATATAGCAGTGGACCCTTCCCTTAAAAATAATCTGTTTTCAAATCGTCTAAATTTTCTTGTTTTACTTTGTGTGAGTGCTTCAGTTTCACTTAAGAATTTTTGTAAGCATCCTCTGTGAAAACCCAAATGCCAAAGGAAGATTTGTGGAACTGTTGTTAATACACACAGTGGTTGAGAGAGAAGATAAAGGGAATTGTGGAACTTTGAAGATAGGAAAAGTTCATGTCACACGCTGCAGTTGCCAGAGAGAACATTTCAGAAGAGGGTGATGGAGGTCTGAGAAGGCAGTGGAAATTTGGTGGCCCAGAAGGACGGACGAGAGGTACAGAGTAGGAGAGGGGTACCAAACACAATATTTGCCTATTTTAAAATGTTGCTTAAAGGAAATACTTAGCTTCTTAATCTAGTGCTACATGTCATCTGCTGCCAAGATGAGTAACCTAAAAAGAATGTATAAGCAATATGGTAATGTTAGGAAATTCTTGGTAACCTATAGTCATTTATTATAATGTTTGTATATCAAAATATATTCCCAGTGTTTAGAGGCCACACATGCTGTTTATATGTCTGCAGCTACCTCACTTCAGGGTGAGCCAGAGTGAACTTATGACAGGTTCTCACTTCTGCACTATAGAAGCAATAATTTCAACAGTTGGCAGTTAAAATTTGACAGGTTGCTGTAAGAGCCAGGAATTGTCAGGCATCTGGAGGAAGCAAGCCACTAGAGGTATTGCGGGGATGCTGCTGCAGTACAGCTAAAATGCAGTCGTCAGAAGATTTTTGTTGTCCTTTCTTATGAGAATTGTATGAAGGTGAGATACTTATCTTTGTACCTCAGATTGCTGGGTTTGATAAACTAAAAGCCAGATTATTTTAATGGCAAATAAAACACAATTACATTAGTACATGTATTACCTGTTTATAGACTTTATTTATGACATTTATATTATATAATGTCATCTAAAACACTATTTTATTTATTTTTAGGTTACGTTTAGCAAGAATGAATGAAGAGATGCGGGAATCAGAAGGACTTTATGGACAGCCAGGTCAATATTCTACTAATAACCATACTGAAATGCAGTATAAGAAATGCATTCAGGAATTTATCAGTTTACAACTGGAAGATTCATAGTTCTTTAGCAAACTAATGTGATACTATAGAGTTTTTATAACCCACTTGTAAATTGTGAGTTGTTAGCTTTGTACTGTACTTAACTGAATCCTTGGGTGGCTAATCCCGGGCCTTTAAACATTCGTAACTCTTCCTATGACAGTACACATTGACTTGCTCTATTTCACTCTGGCTGCTGACTTCTTTATTTGCTGTACGGATGTCTTCCATATACATTCCAGTGAAATGAATGGAATGGTAAAAATATTCTTCATATACTTACAGCAGCAAAATAGTTGTTTTCTTTTTGGAATTCTTTTTAGCTGTCAAGTGAATATAACAAAATTGTTTTCTTTTTGTTATTCAGGGAATTTCTATAAATTACGTTCAGGGAAAAAAAAAATCACCATGTGTCTGGCATATAAAAAGCCAGTATGGAAAATACCAAGAAAAAGTTTACTGATGAGTTTTGTACTACAATCTAAAAATGAGTTGAAGATTTAAAATGAAAATTCACCAGGTGGAGAAGTCCATGATGTGAGTGGAGCTAGTTTGAAAGGCTGAGGGCAAAGGTCTCATTTTATCTAAAGCTAAAGCTTTGCCTCCAGGCAGTTGTACATTATCTCTTAGATAAGCGGAAGTATTTAGAACAATACTTTTTGCACCTGATGGCAAAGTAGATTTATTCTACTTGAGAAATTTCAATTCATGATCACCTCAAGTTTCATTTTGAGTAATTTTCACCTTTGAATCAAGATGTCAAGGAAGAAGTATCAGATTCTTCTCTTTGAAGAACACGTTGATTAGACGTTCTTCACAAAGAAGAGAGTAATTATTGGTTTTCTTGTTTCATGAATTTGAGTATATGAATTACTCATCTGTCTGTTTTAAATTTATATACACATTAGTAAAAAATTTCATGAATTCGTGACTAAAATACTTGAGAATATTCAGTTTGCAATGAGTAGGTTTGGTTTTTTAAAAATGAATATTGATACATTATTTTTAAAGTGACCTGGTAATATCATCTCTTCTTCCTGTTTAAATACATTTTGAAATTTCTGTACTTCAGCCATTTATTTTAACGAGATTAATATATAGTTAATGTGAGGCCGTTCTTTCCTCAGAGGACCGTATTTACTACTGCTTATTTTTGGCCTAATTTAATGTGGAACAAGTAAGAACGTTAAGAATAGAGGCACTTCAGCTAGATATTTCTAATCTAGGGTGTCCCACTTGAATCCTATGGATCATACAATAGTAGGCGGCTCATGATGTTCCGAGATGGAAGAGTGCTGATGAAGGGTGAAGCTCTAGCGTTCATTCTGGATTTCACCCATTTGTTTCAAACTTGAATGTTAGATTTTAAATAGGTTATAATTTTATAACAGATATTCTTAACTGATAGTATTACTAGGCCGTTTTTGAGGCCTTTGTGTTTAAGCACTTTAAAATAAAAATTGTTTAAAGAATATGACCTGATATTTGTAAGAGAAGAGTGAACCTCACGATTTTAAGTTAAACAATTATTTTCCCCCTGACATTTTTAACTTCAGTGTTTGGTTAGCTGCTCTTTCCTTACGGTGTCTGCTGATGAAGTTCACCCAGCTGATTAGCCAGGTGGTCAGTGGTCGACTCTTCTCTGGAGTTGGGAAGCTTGAAAGGAAAGGGCCTCTAAGTTCTTGCCACTTCTAGTTCCACCCAAATTGTTTGGGTGTCTGCCACCATCATTTAGGAGCATTCAAATGTCTTCCACTGTCATTTTTGAGTTTATATATACATAAACTTAAAATGTATAGAAAAGATTTTACCAATTTAATTTAATGAAAACTTGAAAAAAAAAGCCTCATTTTAAAACAAGCTCTCTTACCATTCTCACATTTTAGTTTAGAGGTTAAAAAATAGACCAGAATTCTGGAAATAGTATATCAGAATAAAATTGAGATATTTCTGATTTATTTGAGGATCATCTTGAGAAGGGTTAGATTTTTAACTCATTCAGAGGGCCTAATATTTAAAGCAGGATGATTTTATGCTTAGACAGGGGACATGGTGAAATGGCATAGCAATTGCTCTTCGGTTTCTGTTCTTTTTCTTTATGAGACAGGTATGTTTGGCTCAGGCAGCGGCTGTTTGTTTTTCCTCTGCTTATCACTGTACATTTTTCTATCAAATGCTTTGGTTGCTTGTTTTATTGAGATCCTTTTTTGGTTTTCTTAGCAATAGAATGAAAACCTCAGAACTCTGGGTAAATTAAATGCAGGTATTTTTAATCTTTTGATAATGAAGAGCTCTTATCCTTTAAAAGATTCAGATGTAATCTTTGGCAATCACTGATTTATTTCTAGGAAACCCCACTTGTGAACTTTCTATCTGTACAACCCTAGGGACCTGGGACTCCCTGTTTCTTGCGTGGGGTGATTGAGAGCACACGTTTTCTTCAAAAGAAGGTGTGTCTCTCTTTGGCAGTCCCAGTAGCCCTTAGGAGACATGGGTGGGTGAGGGAAACAGCACACTCTTCTCTCAGTTGTTGGAAACCGGTTTGGTGGTTCCCACAGTCTCTGGCTCTGTGACTCTTCTTGATCGTTGGCAGGCTCTCAGCCAGTTGAGAATCATCACTGCTTTAGGGACCCGCTACTGGTTATGTGAGTATGTAGCAAGCACAAGTTGGGAATCGCTGATCTAAGTAATTATGAAAGTAAGCTGTTACCCACCCAGAAGGGGTAAGGTCGTGCATAGGATGACCTGGGGTGGGTCTCATGTGCTGCCGTCCCTGTGAGGTGAGGGGAGTACATTTCAAGAGCAAAATTAGCAAACTCTTGAATCATCATAACTGCTGTTGTGGTAGATATTCTGAATACCAAAAATTAAAAGTGAATTTAAACTGTCAGTGGAAACACAGCAGTCTGCATTTTAAAAACTTAGAGCTGTCCAGGCACATAGAAAAGTTAACTGTCTGAGGGGAAATAGAATGTGGTTAAGTTTAAAGAATATGCTTAGTATTATAAATGTTGAGTGATGAGTTGTTTACCATTTATAATAAACTGTTAAATGTATTTCTGGGAACATTCCATGGCAGCATATTCTGGGTTGTTGTTTATGTGTTCCAATGTAGACAAATTATATTTGCCTTGGGAAAAATTCTAAGTAATCAAAATTATATTTAAATATTAAAAAATCACATTGAAGTTCAATTTGTGTTAGCTGTATTAAATATCTTGGTCACTATTGTTCTTGTAACATTTGCTTTTGACAACACATTTTGAGATCTAAGAAAGGTAGTACATTAACAGTGCATTAATTAATGTTTTGTTAGAAACTAAATGTTAACAAAAAGTTTTGTGTGTATGTGAAGGTGGCAACTTCCTTTTGTATTATATTAACACTTTTTAAATGTATTCAGTCAGTGAAACCAATGATTATTATAGCACCAACACTTTCATTCAAGGAAGCATTTGAGTCTTATAATTTGTTTTGCATGGTACAATGGTTCTACTAAAATATACTTGTGTAATAGGTACTAGATGATTTAAAAACAAAACCGGAGAAACCATTTAAAAAGTTCCATAGCTTGTTATACAAAATATGCATTGCTAATAGTAGAAGCCATATATTGCCATTGTACTGTTGTAATACTTAACAGTGCTCATCTGGTGCTACCTGTAGACTATTTGGTATTAACGTCTGCTAGACCCTTCTTCCTATTTCTTCTTGAATGTATAATGTGTGCCTTTTAAGTTACTTCTAGTGTTGAATGGTAAAATCTTTGTGGTATTTTTGTATTATACTCTGCACTTTACACTTTCTTGGAAAGGAAAATTCCAGACTATCCAGTTTAAATAGTCTTTTAAAAATATTTATAATGTTTACAATAAATATTTTACATATTTTAATTCAACATCTGCAAATTAGAAAAAATATTTTATATGGTTTGTTGCTATTTAATGTTGCTCTATTTATTTTCTATCTTTTAGAATGGTTAAAATGAGAATAGCAATGTTTGTCTTTTGATGTGGAAGTGAACTTTTACAAAACCATGGGTATAATTGGATTGTCTTACCAGCTGTTCCAACGTATCAACCTTTTATTTTAGTCATGTCAATATGAGTTAGATGTTACTCTCAGCCACCTGTTAATAATCTCTTCTTACTGTTTTTTTCTTTTTAAAGTAGACTGATGAGGTTTAATTGATTGATTCAGGTCGGGAATAAATTTCCAGGGCTAAATGAAAACTATATAGAGATGTTAATAGTTGCTTTTTACCTAGACTAAATACAAAAAGTGACTAGAAAGTATTAGATTTTTTTTCCTTTTTTTTCTTTTTTTGAGGCGGAGTCTCGCTCTGTTGCCCAGGCTGGAGTGCAGTGGCGCGATCTTGGCTCACTGCAAGCTCTGCCTCCCGGGTTCACACCATTCTCATGCCTTGGCCTCCCGAGTAGCTGGGACTACAGGCGCCCACCACCACGCCCGGCTAATTTTTTGTATTTTTAATAGAGACGGGGTTTCACCGTGTTAGCCAGGATGGTCTCCATCTCCTGACCTCGTGATCCGCCCGTCTCGGCCTCTCAAAGTGCTGGGATTAGAGGCGTGAGCCACCCGGCCGGGCCAAAAGTATTAACATTTTTTTAATTCAAAATCTTGGCTTATGCTGTTAGACCTTTTTACTAGATCTTTACTCCTATCCTCAACTTTTTTCTAATTCTCTAGCTTTTGGTATGACATCTCTTGCTTCAAAAATCTCACTTTTTAAAAACTGACAAAACTTACTGCACTATTAACAACATCTGTAGCAATGAGTGTGTTATAAGGTGGATGCAAGGTATCTTATAGGAGATAATTTTAAAATGTTACAATAATAATCAAAAACAGTATTTTATGGTTGAAATCTTGAGAACAGAATTATGCCAAGCATTTGTATAAGGCTAATGTTTAGCAGGAAGCATTCATGATCAACGATTTATCTTGAAAATAAGATTCCTTCGTCTGAGGGATTGATCTGTATGTGTGTGTATATTTAGTTTCTCATGACAAGAAAAATGGTATTCAGTCAGCTATAATATCAGTATCTATAATCTATTTCTCGGTAAACATATTTGTACATATACACGTTTATTTTTCTAATTTAACAGATGTCCTTGGTATTTATTTGCATTTTGTCATAGCATTCTTGCTCATATGACCTGCAGTAAAACAAAAACAAACCCAACTTTTAAATGCAAAACTGATTTTAAAGCCATTTTCTTTTTTTTATTTTTTATTGAAACAGAGTCTCGCTCTGTTGCCCAGGCTGGAGTGCAGTGGTGCGATCTCAGCTCACTGCAACCTCCACCTCCCGGGTTCAAGCGATTCTCCTGCCTCAGCCTCCCGAGTAGCTGGGATTACAGGTGCCCACCACCACGCCTGGTTACTTTTTGTATTTTTAGTAGAGACAGGGTTTCATCATGTTGGCCGGGCGGTCTCAAACTCCTGACCTCAGGTGATCTGCCCGCCTCAGCCTCCCAAAGTGCTGGGGTTACAGGCATGAGCCACCACACCTGGCCTTAAAGCCATTTTCTAGGATTTTGTTGTTAATTTTTGTAGAGATGTAGTCTCGCTATGTTGCCCAGACTGGTCTTGAACTCCTGGCCTCAACCAATTCTCCCCCCAACCCCCCCACCCAGCTTCCCAAAGTGTTGGGGTTATAGGCGTGAGGCACTGCACCCAGCTAGATTTTTATTTTATGAGTTTAGGAAGCAGTGGATTAGGTGCATTAGTTTTAATTACGCATTAAAGTTTGAGTAAAAAATTACTTTTTCAAATTGCTTTTAATTAAAAGATAGTATTATTTTTCCCTATCTGATTATCAGTTTGTCTTGATTATCAGTTTGTCTTGTTAATAACTTGCATCCATCCAAAACATTAGTATTTGGTTTTAGTCATTTCTTTTGGCCTTTATCAAGGGAAATATTTATTTAAAGAAGGTCTCATTTACTCCACCTCATTTAGAATGACTTTTCCCCCCCGTGTGTTAATAAACGTATTTCTTTACATTGCTTTAAAACACTTGCATCTTTGCTCTTTTCTAACTCTGAGCTTTCTTCTGTGGCTGCATCTGAGGTGCTTTTTTCAGGTATAGTTTTTTTTTTTCTTTCATTGCATAATTTTTCAGCATTTATTTTTAGTTGCCCCTTTTCTTCCAAAAATGCTCATCTGAACAAAATTTTAATGTAATGAATTATAAAATAGTACTAGTAATAAATATGAATGTTGTTTGATTAATACTTGTGTAAATGTTTAAAGTGTCTTTATTTTATTTCATGCAGGTGATGAAACTTATCAGGACATATTTCGTGATTTTTCCCAAATGGCATCCAATAATCCAGAGAAACTAAATCGTTTCCAGCAAGATTCACAGAAATTCTGAATTTTTTTAAAAATGGGAAAATATGAAATCTGGTGACCCCCTAATGTATACAGCTAAAAAATCACAATTTTTTTACTGCTTTAATTCTACTTAATTTTGGTAGATATTGAATGGCTTGGAAAAGAGGTACCCATTCATATATTTATAAATTAAAACATAGTTATCTAGTAGTAGGAGAGGAACCTAGTTTAGGACCTCTTTTATTAAAAAAGCCTATTTAAAGGGCTATTTCTGTAGACAGAAGTTCAGTCTAGATTTAGGCCATCTCTAGGTTACAAGATGATAGGAGGTTAGACAAAAGTGATTCTTTTGCCAATGGGTGGTGGCATTGATTTTTTTCCTCCATGCATCTTGCCCAGGATCACTCAGTCAAGCATGTCTTCATCAAGTGGAAGCCAACTGTCCTGCCTGCCTCAAGAATATGTGTTTTCTTTAGCTTCCCTGAGGCTTTTTGGTGGTTCAGAAATAGGTGTGTGTGTTGATGTGTTTTTGGTAACCTAGCTTTCATACACATAATATATGATTTATTAGAACTAGAGAATGTGTTTTCCCCGTTTGTTCATAAATGCGGTCGGTTATACTTCTTAGGTGACAGGTTATTGTCCAGTACTTTAATGTATGTATGTATAATGGCTGTACAGGTAGACCATAATTCAGTCCTTTAGATTTATTTTATGCAGCAAAAAGAAGCTCTTTTTTTTTTTTAATCACAAAAAAAAACCCCAGTTCAAAATGTGTAGTTCTTCATTGTTGGGTTGATTCCCCAAAACCTTGACAGATGTATCGATGGAATAAAAGTATGTTTTAAAGGTTACTTGAATGTCACAAAATTATGCCTTCATCAAAACTTTAAAGGAAAAATCAATTTATAAAATCATGTAGGCCATTTTTATATTTGAAATTTGTCCTTTTAAAGATAGTTTTGCTGTTGCTCCTAGTGAAAGAAAAATCTCTGTACAAAGGAGAAAAAGAACCCCACTTATTCTTAGTTAATACTAAAATATATAGCAATAAATTGCTGTTTATTTTTTCTACATCTATTTTGTGTACTTGTACACAGTGTACATTCTTTTAAATTATATCGTGTATATAGCTTTAGTATTCGGTTACATGATTCACAGACCCCTGAATTCCAAAATATTATGGATAAACATTACCATTTATATGCTACAAATTAGTCTGATTCCATCTTTGAAAATGTCTTAAAGTATAAAATAATTAATTTGCTTTTTTTTTTTTTTTTTCCCGAGATGGCGTCTTGCTGTGTCACCCAGGCTGGAGTGCAGTGGCACGATCTCAGCTCACTGCAGCCTCCTCCTCTTGGGTTCAAGCAATTCTCCTGCCTCAGCCTCCCGAGTAGCTGGGACTACAGGCACCCGCCACCATTCCGAGCTAATTTCTATATTTTTAGTAAAGACGGGTTTCACCATTTTGGCCAGGTTGGTCTCGAACTCCTGACCTCAGGTGATCAGCCTGCTTTAGCCTCCCAGAGTGCTGGGATTACAGGCGTGAGCCACCGCACCCAGCCTAATTTGCCTTTTGATTCCTTCCCATTGTTGTCAACAATTAAGTCTATTCTTCTTTTAGAAATTATATGTAAATGATATTATTGATACTCTTTCTAAATAAGAGGTTTTAAAATATATAAAAACTTTATGATCCAATTATAGATAAATTTTCTAACATTTCCCAGTCACTAGGGTTTTATAAGTTGATTAAACATCAAATCAGAATCTAGCCAAGCAGGAATTATATTGAAATAAGTTCACATTACAGAAAAGGTTCCATAATTTGGCCAAACTGCATGCATGTAATGCTTATTTAGTAATGGTCACTGTATGTTAGATAAGGATAAAAATATATTTGTGAATTACTTCTGAGGAAATGCTAACTTCCACAGCATTGTATTTAATTATAACAATAACAGGAACATTAAATCTTTATCTTTGCTGTTTCACCTCAAAGTCATAGATCATCTGGCTTTTTAGGCACCTTCACTAAAGGCAAAAATCTGATTTGTAGTTTTTATTAGCATGTACCTTGAAATTATTTGACCAAGAAGCTCAAAGAAAAGAAGTACGTTAAAGAAAAAGAAAAAACCTCACTTTTCCTTTATAGTGTCCCTTCCTGTTTTAATTCCTAAAGATCCTGACTTTTATCTGAGGAAGTCTAGGTAGTTTTCCTTTTGGATCTGGCCATTGGTGCGTGTTTCATTCAGATCACCTCTGGAATCTCTGTGGTTGTGAAGGCAATTCCTTATGAGACTCTTGCCTCCTGTGGCTTACGTGATGAATTGTTAATATGGCAGTAATTAATTAGTATCTACTTAAATTTAGTGGTCAGAAATGTATTTGAAGTGCCTTAAAGATGATCATGGTTCAGAATATCTTCAGAGAAAGCAAAATCTTTAATATTGCAGGGAGCCTAGCAATACAAGTACACATTTCTGTGGCTTGATTTCTTGAATATGCTGAGACCCAATTTGGACTACATTTGGCAGAAATGATGGAGTAAACAGCAAGGCTTTAAATTAAATTAATAGTTACAAGGTAGGTTGGCTCTTAGGTGAATTTAGCCATGTCAACTAATAGCTTTTATATGGTATGTAACAAATCTGAATTATGTTATGCTGTGAATTATTCAGTGCATTATAAGAAATCTTAGTTAATCATGCTTTTGGGCTTCATTAGTCAATGTGATTGGCCTTTTATTTTCTTTCCATAACTTATCTGCTATTATTAGTTTCTTATTCCTTATTATTAATCTGTTAGCTCATTATCATTAGCTTACTAACTTGAAAGTTAGATTAATATCAAAATAAGAATAGCAGCACTATGAAGAGTTAATAAAATGCAATTTCATGTTAGAGCTAGAATAAAAGTAATTGAGCAGTCATTTGCAAATGCTTCATTATAACATTTATGTGCTTAAGATTTCTAAGGTTTTAAAAAGTTACCTTTAATACAATCCTTAGAAACTCAGAAATTTCCTGATATTCATTAGATTATGGTGTTTGCCTAATTTATACCGGTTTTCACTGTATATTTTAATGAACTTTGATTGGTTACTTTTCCAGACATACAGATTTAATTTGGAATATGAACTTTGGTTCTTCATGAGTGCATTTTGAAAAAGAAAAAAAGTACACATTCAGAATCTGGCCAATTTAAGTTTGTATTTTAAAAATATTTTATGCATGTTAAGTATGGTCGCAGTAAATGAAATTGTGTTTAAGACTAAATTTACTACCGTTTTGAACAGACATTCCCAGATCATTCTTATATTGTCAGATAACACTTGTGTATAATATCACTTTGGATCATGGACATGAGCTGGAAAAATGATGTATTTTTGTAGATTGTATGTCCAGAATGACTTTAGAACCGCATGATACGGTGGAAGGAGCACTGGACTAGTCGTCACTACCCTTTTTGGATTCAGGGCTCCTCACAATTAAAATGAGTGTAATGAAACAAGGTGAAAATATAGAAGCATCCCTTTGTATACTGTTTTGCTACTTACAGTGTACTTGGCATTGCTTTATCTCACTGGATTCTCATGGTAGGATTTCTGAGATCTTAATCTAAGCTCCAAAGTTGTCTACTTTTTTGATCCTAGGGTGCTCCTTTTGTTTTACAGAGCAGGGTCACTTGATTTGCTAGCTGGTGGCAGAATTGGCACCATTACCCAGGTCTGACTGACCACCAGTCAGAGGCACTTTATTTGTATCATGAAATGATTTGAAATCATTGTAAAGCAGCGAAGTCTGATAATGAATGCCAGCTTTCCTTGTGCTTTGATAACAAAGACTCCAAATATTCTGGAGAACCTGGATAAAAGTTTGAAGGGCTAGATTGGGATTTGAAGACAAAATTGTAGGAAATCTTACATTTTTGCAATAACAAACATTAATGAAAGCAAAACATTATAAAAGTAATTTTAATTCACCACATACTTATCAATTTCTTGATGCTTCCAAATGACATCTACAGATATGGTTTTGTGGACATCTTTTTCTGTTTACATAAATTTATCCACTTAAAATGTGATAATGTGGAGACAAAGCAAGATTTGATTACATAAACTTTTCTCTGCATTGGTCTTTTCACTATCTTATTTGCTAACTTTTCTTATTTTTCTTCAACCTCCCCACCCTCCATTTTTTGGATATTAAACAGGGAAAGCTTGCTACATTATAAAGATTGTTGGCACCATTTATTTTACACAAAGGCTAAAGGTTAACTTTTGGAAATGATGAGCTACTTTTATATATGTGTTTACTCATGCTTTGTGATATTTCTGGATCATTCCAGTCATAAAGACTTATTACATGTACTATTTCTTGCTACCTGTGAAAAGGTATATTTTAAAGAATGTATAACCAACAGTCCATTTACTTTTTATTAGTATGTAGAGGATTTGTATCTAATTCATGAATGTAGTTTTACAGTAGTTTGTCATTGTAAATGGAGCAAAGTACATTATCTTCTAAAATGTACATTATGTAAGAATTGTAAATATACTTAAGTAATTTGTATGCCAAAAAATTACAATAAGTCAATAAAGATCTCACCTCTGGCTTAGTTCTTTCATGGTGATTTACATTTTCTTGTGAAATACACTGTGAACATATCTGTCAACAGCAGTTATTTTTAAGGTACTATTATTTTTAAGGTATTTCTTCCCAGCCCTTTCAAATCCACATTCATCCTATTTGCTGATTACTTCAATCAAGAAATCCATTTGGATCTTTTAAGTATATAATTCTCTTTGTTCACAGAGCTGTTATAGCCCCTAATTCATTGGCAAAAAGATAAAAGGTTTTTTTTGGGGGGTGGGGGGAGGGGCTTGCTCTAAGTTTTTTCCATTATGATTGACATTAATGTTCCTAATCTATGCAGCACATTCCCATTTTATCCTTTTAGTAAACAGACACACACACGTTTGTCAGTGAATTGGGACTGAAGGAATGGAAGGTTGAAAAAACCAAACTGGAAGTGTATCACCTGCATTTGCTTTAAAAAAAAAAAAGCTAATTGAAAGCAGACACATAAACTTTTCAATATAACTTGCTTTATTCAGCTTCATTTCATTTTCAGAATAGTTCTGTGGAGAACCCACATCAATAGTCTATAAATATTTTAAGTGAAAACAGTTTAATTTTTCAATTATTGCAAACACAAAGCTTTTTGCTTGTGGAGAAATGTTAAGAAGAAGCAAGAGAATCATCCACAATTCCATTATCTTGTGCTGTCCAAAATGGAACTCACTAGCTACATGTGGCTACTTAATTGGAATTAGACAAAGAGTTCATTTCCTCAGTCGTACTGCTACATTTTAAGAACTTTATAGCCCCATGTGGCTAGTGACTATTGTTTTGAACAGGGGAGATTGTAGAATATATACATTGTCACAGGAAGTTCTACTGGATAGCACTGAGGGAGATACTGTTACTTTTTTGTGTATACCCTTCTAGACCTTTGGGTGTGTGTATTCATACATTTATATAATGGGATCATACAGTTACCCACTTCTTTCACTTAATAGATGGGGAGAACTTTATGGGAAATTTCAAGCATGTACAGGTAGAGAAAATCAATAGCTATAAGCTCATGGCTTATATTTGTTCTCCTACCCATTTTTCCCCTTTCCTGGACTTTTTGGAACCAGATCCTAGACCTTTCACCAGCAAATCATTCCGTATGTACATCTAAAAGTTGAGGACTTTAAAAAATCGTAACACTTCTTAAACTGTAAAACTACATAATCAATATTCAAATTGGTTTCTCAAATACGATTTTTAAAATAGATCGTGCAAATCAGAATTCACATAAGTTCCATACGTTGCAGTTGGTGAATATGTTTCTTAGTCTCTGTAGGTTTTTTTTTCCATTTGTTACCATTACTATTTTTTTTTTGGAATTGGGGTCTCGCACTGTCATCCAGGCTGGAGTCCTGTGGCGATCGTAGCTCACTGCAGCCTTGGACCCCTGAGCTCAAGTGATCCTCCCACCTCAGTCTCCCACATAGCTTGGAGTACGGGTATGAGCCACCTCACCCATTTGTTAGTTTTTTAAATTTCCACCTGCAGTTTGTTGAAAACATCACTTTTAATGACTGCATTATTTTAGCTTTAACCACTTTATTGATGACCATTTGATTCTGATTTTTTGCCATCATGAACCTAGCTTTGCTTTATTTTTATGTTTGTTTTTTGAGACAGGGTCTCGCTCTCTTTCGCCAGGCTAGAGTACAGAGGCACAATCTCGGCTCACTGCATCCTCTGCCTCCTAGGTTCAAGCGATTCTCTTGCCTCAGCCTCTCGAGTAGCTGGAATTGCAGGTGTCCGCCACCACACTGCCTACTTTTTTTTTTTTTTTGAGACAGGGTTTTGCTCTTGTCGCCCAGGCTGGAGTGCAGTGTTATGATCTCGGCTCACTGCATCCTCTGCCTCCTAGGTTCAAGCGATTCTCTTGCCTCAGCCTCTCGAGTAGCTGGAATTGCAGGTGTCCGCCACCACACTGCCTACTTTTTTTTTTTTTTTGAGACAGAGTTTTGCTCTTGTCGCCCAGGCTGGAGTGCAGTGTTATGATCTCGGCTCACTGCAACCTCCACCTCCCAGGTTCAAGCGATTCTTCTGCCTCAGCCTCCTGAGTAGCTGGGATTACAGGCGCCCGCCACCATGTCTGGCTAATTTTTTGTATTTTTAGTAGAGACGGGGTTTCGCCATGTTGGGCAGGCTGGTCTCGAACTCCTGGCCTAAGGTGATCTGCCCTCCTCGGCCTCCCAAAGTGCTAGGATTACAGGCGTGAGCCACCATTCCCGGCCTAAGCCACCATGCTTGGCCTTGCTTTATTCTTATGGTTAAATATTTTGAACATTCTTAAATTATTAGGAAGATTTTCTAGAAATAAAAATGCTGTTTCAATGGTTGAGTATATTTTTGAGACTCATCCAATGTGGTAGGCACCGTGTTAGGTACTGGGTATATTGTGGTTAATAAAAAACAAATGTATATTCTGTTCTCTTGGAGTCACGTGTTCTTGCAATGAAGAAAGATGAGACTAGGGTAGTACATATATTTAGGTGGCCCTCACAGAATTATTGAGGATGGCACTTAGCCCAGACACTGGATAGGAGGTATTTAGAGATCATTTGTGTAGGTAGTGACATGTAAGCCAAGGTCTGAAGCAGAGAGGTTGGATAATCCATGCAACCTTACAATGTGGAAATAACAGGAAAAACCGTTTACCTAATCTCTGGTCAGAAATCAGAGAACTTGGCCAAAGAACTGAAGGGTTACTGTACTTACTCAAGTTCTTTGTCTATTTAGACAGCATGCACAGCACTTGCACGTGTTTACTTAAAAACTACTGGTATAGCCTCAATTCTTAGAAGACTGAAGTTAGTACGTTTTTATCTAGTTAGCAGTGTGCAACTGCCTAGGGTCAAAATTGCTACTGGCTAGCTGTGTGACTTTGGGCACGTGACCTCGGCGTGCAAAACTCCCTGGTACCCTCAAGGAGGCTCTTGATAAAGTGTTAAAAGTCTGTTTATAAAACAAAAGTGGATGAATGTCGCCCTCCAGGGCTTTGCGGTGCTGGGGCTCGGGGAGCAGCCTCGCAGGTTCGTGCGGGCGGCGGGGGCCCCCTGCTGGCCACATCCTCCAGCCTCCCTCCGCTCGGCCTCCGGCGCGACGTGCGGCCCGGGCCATTTCCTCCCAGGGCGGGGGAAAAGGGAGGAGCTGCCGGTTTAAATTGCCTAGCTGCAGCTCGTGTGCAGGGAGAGGCCGAGACGGCTTAAAGCCTCCAAGAAATTGAGGGAAAAAAGGTGCAGAGATTAAAGTTTTACCTCTTGGTGCCTCCAGCTTCGCTTTTGGCTAACCTAAGTTCCTCTGTTCGGGCGCCTCCATTCCCTTCAACACTCAGCTTGGATATCCTCTGGGGCTCGCCGCGTAGGGCGCCATTTCTCAGCCGGGACAGCGGGCCAGCCCTCAGCACGCTGGAGTCCGGAATCCCCCCCTCCCAACGCCGGGCGCCGGATCCCACCCTAACCCCTCCTCTAATACCCTTGGAACCTAGGACCCAGCGGTTTCGGCACGCCCGGCCCCGCCCCTCCGCGCACCGGCGCCCGCGATTGGCTCCAGGCGGCGCGGCCCCGCCCCTTTCATGGCCGCCGCCTGGCGCCGGGGCTAAGTGGCCGCCGGCGTCCGGGTACCCGAGGGCTCTCCCGCGTTGCTGGCACCGCTGGCGCCGCGGTCTCGTAGCGCATGGGCCTCCTCCGAGGCGGGCTCCCATGCGCTCGGGCCATGGCGCGCCTGGGCGCTGTGCGCTCCCACTACTGCGCCCTGCTGCTGGCCGCGGCGCTGGCCGTCTGCGCCTTCTACTACCTCGGCTCAGGCCGGGAGACCTTCTCCAGCGCCACCAAGAGGCTGAAGGAGGCCCGCGCCGGGGCTCCCGCCGCGCCCTCGCCGCCCGCGCTGGAGCTAGCGCGGGGCTCCGTGGCGCCAGCCCCCGGCGCGAAGGCCAAGAGCTTGGAGGGCGGCGGTGCCGGGCCGGTGGACTACCACCTGCTGATGATGTTCACCAAGGCGGAGCACAATGCCGCGCTGCAGGCCAAGGCCCGCGTCGCGCTGCGCTCACTGCTGCGCCTCGCCAAGTTCGAGGCGCACGAGGTGCTTAACCTTCACTTCGTGAGCGAGGAGGCCAGCCGCGAGGTGGCCAAGGGCCTGCTGCGGGAGCTCCTGCCGCCCGCCGCTGGCTTCAAGTGCAAGGTGAGCGGGCCGCGGCTGGGGGCTCCCGGTGGGTGGCCCACCCCATCCTAGGCGAGGTCAGTTTGCGCTCCCGGAGGGGATCCGGGGAACTAGCGGGTAGGATCTTCCCTGAGCTGCCCGCTTGCAATGTAGTGTTCACAACCTGCGGGAGGGCTCGTTCGGGGGCGTGTCCGGGAGCCAGACGCCCTCAGCTGGTGCTGAGGAGTGGAGCTGCGTTTTTAATGACCGCCTCGTTTTCCTCTCCCCCAGTTAAGCGCAGCCCCCAGGAGAGTCCGCGCGCCCCCATTTTGCTAACGTTGCAGGGTTCAGCACTGCCTTCAGAGTCTGCACCTCTGTTTATGTTCCTCAGTTTTTGACTTCTGAGGATGGGACTGGTCACCAGTAGTCATCCTGAGCAACTGGAGAGGGCCTTGGTGAGGCCTCTGGAAGTGTTGAAGTTGCAGTGACACTTCTCATTGCTCTTAAGGTATTTCAGTAGGATCTGGTCAAACTCATTGTGAACCATCTTATCTCCTCTCTGTGTCCCTTTTTCCCCTTCCTCCAAGGGTCATGAACCCATTTAGAGAAGCCTGGAGTTCCTCCGAATGAGGAAGAGAAAGCTCAAGAGGAACAGATATGATCTGGGGAGAGCACAGCTGGCCGCCTTGTCCCAGGCTGGACCAGTCTGCCTCCATGACAGCTTCCATCTCTGTTTATCATCTGTCTTCACTGCCTGGCTCTCCTTGTCTGAGATGTGTTTCTGACATAGTGTGAATTGCCTAGGTCAAATTGCTTATTTGATTTTGACCTAATAGTTGTACAGAGGGGATCCGAGGCCAGATTTTAAGGAGTAGTAGGTAATATTAAAGGGTGGAGACTGATGTTGGTTGGGGAAGCATGCTGAGACAGGAGTTGTATTATGTGAGTGACTAGGGGAGCTGTTGCCAGGATCCTACAGGCTTCGGGAGTCTCTGATAGCTCCTTGTTGCCTACGGGGTGAAGTCCCAGTTTATTGGTAGGGCTGTTGTGTTGTGAGCCTGGTCCACTTCTCTGGCTTCACCTCTCCTCCTTTGTCTACATGCACCTCATACCTTAGCTATGTAGGGAGTGGGCCTTATACATGCTGTACTGTCTGCCCACAGTGTCCTCTTGGGCCCTTGGCCATTCTTTACTCAGCTTTCACCTCTCCTGAGAAAGTCCCTAGACCCTGGGACCTCTGAAGGTCCTCGCTGGAGGAGGAGCCTGGCAACCTGTCCCAGGTGATCCTAATGACCCTAATATTTGAGAAACTTTGCACTAGTTCACGGTAGAAAACTGAGGGCCCTTGGCCATAGGGTCAGTCTGGGCAGATCTTGGGATTTGACCAGGTCTCCAAACACCGCCTTGAAGATAGCATTGTCATCTCTTCTGGGCCTACTCTGCACCGTTGCCGGATCTCTGTCCCCTTGTCCCCAGCTCCCGCTGCAGCGCTAGCTGCACAGCCAGTGCTTTCCAGCCTACTTGCCTTTGCTTTTGTCATTCCCACTGTTGGGGTGCTCCTTCTCTCCATCTCCAAGTCTTGCCCATCTTCAGATACCATCCCCTCCTTGGAGCCAAGGAAGCGTCCCTTCTTTCCTTTTCTACTTCCCTGGTGCTGTGACTGTATCATGTCTTATCATCCATCCCTATGTACAATGCCTGGCACTCTTAGTTGGCACCAGAAATATTGGCCCAGGGGTAGATCCAGCCTCAGGGCCGAGCCCCTCCTGTCTTGGAGTAAGTGTTTCATGCTCGGACTACCCCACTTTACTGGGCCCAGTTCTGGCAGCCTCACTCAAGGCCTGGAGGCAGCTGCAAATGACCAGAGGGAACTGATACCTCCTCTGTTGAGGGGTGAGGGTTTAGTGTCTGGGGACTTCTAGCCAGATGTCAGTGATTGGATAAGGGGTTATCAGTCCTGGCATAAAATTGCTCCCGTTACTTCTTTTTTTTTTTTGTGAGATGGAGTTTCGCTCTTGTTGCCTAGGCTGGAGTGCAGTGGCACGATCTCAGCTCACTGCAACCTCTGCCTCCTGGGTTCGAGCGATTCTGCCTCAGCCTCTCGAGTAGCTGGAATTACAGGTGCCCACCACCACGCTGGCTAAATTTTTTGTTTTTTTTTTTTTGAGACAGAGTTTTGCTCTTGTCGCCCAGGCTGGAGTGCAACAGTGTGATCTCGGCTCACTGCAACCTCTGCCTCCAAGGTTCAAGTGATTCTCCTGGCCCAGCCTCCTGAGTAGCTGGGATTACAGGCGCCCGCCACCACGCCCGGCTAATTTTTTGTATTTTTAGTAGAGATGGGGTTTCATCATGTTGGCCAGGCTGGTCTCAAATTCCTGACCTCAGGTGATCCACCCACCTTGGCCTCTCAAAGTGCTGGAATTACAGGCGTGAACCACCGCGCCTGGCCTCCGTTACTTTGTTTTGTTTTGTTTTTGATAAGAATTCTTGCTATGTTGCCCAGGCTGGTCTTGAACTCCTGAGCTCAAGCAATTCTCTTGCCTTAGCCTCCTGCATAGCTGGGATTACAGGCACACACCACTGCACCTGGCATTCCCATGATTTTTGAGTTCATATTTTGTAAATTTTTCTGTTTGTGATGAAAAGTGCTCTTTTTTTCCTTTAAATGTGCGATTCTAAAAGGTTTGCTTCATTTTACTTGTGATTTAATTCTTCCTCAGGTTTGGAATATTCCTGAAAAGAACATATGTCACATGCCTTTCCTCTGTCTGGAGTTCTCCCTGCCTCCATCCTTGGTACTCAGCTTTCAGGTCTCGGCTTTGGTGTTCTTTCCTTGGTAAACCTTTCCTGAGCCCCCATTACACACTTTCAAACTCCAAGCACTGTTCCTTAGTAACATTTATCACAGTTGTATTTATATAATCGTTGGAGTAATTATTTGTCTTCCTTGCTAGACTCTAAACTCCTTAAGGGCACTGACATTGACGTGTCTTAAATGCTGCCTCCCTAGCACCTGACAGATGAGGGAATTTTATACTGGAATTGTTTTTTCAGTATTGACTCGGAAGAAGGAAACTAGAATTTCTCACTCTGGCTGTGCCAGAGCTGGAAGGGATTTGGAGTATATAGCATGACAGGTGAGGAAACTCGCCCAAGGCTTTCTGGAGAAGTTACTCAGTTGTGGCTGGACCTGCATCCTAGGTCAGTGCTGTTCCCTTTGTGCTGTATTTCCCCTTTAAGGAGCACTTCTGTCTTGTAAAGTCCAGGGGGCAGTTTATTCCCAGGGAGAATTGATTTGAGTGGTGTTAGAACTGTCTGAAGATAGCCTGGGGGCTCCTCTTCCCTTCAGTTGGCTCTGGGACCTCAGCATGGCTGCAAGATGCAGAGCAGGGCCACAGTGAACTGGCACGGGGCTGGTGCCCACACACCGAGGTCTCAGGCCATTTTCAAGTGGCATAGAAACACCTTGTAGCTGAAATGGTTGCAGAAATAGATCACAGAACATTATTAGTGACCTTAGATTTTATTTTGGCTAATTGGATATTAGCTAAAAAGGATTCATGTATCTTGTTTTAAATATGTTTGAAGGTTTTAATTAATCTGTTAGTTTATTATCTGTGAACAGGGAAGCATATTATTTGTTAATCAGTAAACTTCAGAGCTTGCTATGTTCCAGGTACCAGTATAGGAGGAGCTGCTTCTAGCCTATACAGTAAGTCCATTTTCTAAATGCATCAGAATCACCTGGGGACACTTGAAAATACAGAATCCTGGGCCCCACCCCAGCCTGTGGGCTCAGAATCTCCTGGGTGGGGCCTGGAAGTCTGTATTTGGATGGAGTTACAGAGGCAGGCTTGGGCGTCACTGCTGTAAGAAATCCAGGAGTGCTCTCCTGCTGGTCTCTAAGACCCAGTTCAGGCATCCTGTCCTCTGGGTAACCTTCCGTGGGGAGCATGATGCCTGGCTCACAGTGGGCGTTCAGGAACTGTTTGACTGTGACTCTTCCATCCAGGCTATTTTGGCTGTGCTGATCTGGGAAAGGCTGCCACATTCACCTTGCTAAAATGCTGCCTTTTTTTTGTCTTTTTCTTTTATTTTTTTTTTGTGATAGAGTCTTGCTCTGTCACCAGGCTGGGGTGCTGTGGTGCGGTCTCGGCTCACTGCAACCTCTGCCTCCCGGGTTCAAGCGATTCTCCTGTCTCAGCTTCCGGAGTAGCTGGACTACAGGCACCCACCGCCACACCCAGCTAGTTTTTGTATTTTTTAGTAGCGATGGGGTTTCACCATGTGGGCCAGGATGGTCTCGATCTCTTGACCTCGTGATCCACCTGCCTCAGCCTCCCAAAGTGCTGGGATTACAGGCGTGAGCCACCGCACCCGGCCAGAATGCTGCCTTTATTGTATCGCTTCCATTCAGAACCTCCAGTGGCTTCTGGCTACCTGTCCTCCCAGGTCATTTCAATGTCCTAGACCCACAGCAGTGGCTGAGCTTCCTGAATTCTTCTCATGGCGCTTTGCTTGCTCTGCTTCTGAGCATCTGTTGTCTTTCTGTCAAGTGCAGTCTCACACTTGTAAAACTTAGATCAAGACTTATCCCTTCCATGTGCCTTTCCTGCCAGATCAGGTTTGACAGAATATACCATGAAACCCCCAAATAATGGTGGCTTAAACAAGGTTGAATTTATGTCTCGTTTCAATGCAGTCCAGAGGTAGGCATTTCTGGGCTGGCATGGGGGCTTCGTGAAGCCACCACGGTCCTCGGCTCCTTCCAGCTCTGTGTTTCACCATCCCTGAGGGTGGCGCTGTCTTCGTGGTCCAGGATGGCTGCCGGGGCTGGGGCCATCACATCTGTGTTGCTGGGTCGCATTTACTCCAGTTTAGCCCAGTGCTGCTGTGTGTATTGTTTCGGGTCCAGTCTCATCACATGGTTCTACTCTACTGACTTCTGGGAAAATGATCACAGTGAACAGGCCTCAAGGCGCCTCTCATGTCTCCTCTCCTTCCCCATGCTGGCCAGCTCTCTGCAGAGGCGGTGGGGCCCACCAGCCACTGCTTGTATGGCCTCCATGGAGCACAGCAATATTGCTTCTTTGTGGTATTTGCCTTGTGCTATCAGCTCAAATCTTAACTGTTCAGAAAGACCTTCCCCGAATCTCTTGTCTAACGCAAGCCTCATGCCAGCCTTCATCTTTCCCATCACCTTGTGCATTTTTTTCTTTTTTTTTTTTTTGAGATGGAGTCTCGTTCTGTCACCCAGGCTGGAGTGCAAGGGTGCGATCTTGGCTCACTGCAGCCTCTGCCTCCTTTCAAGCGATTCTCCTGCCTCAGCCTCCCAAGTAGCTGGGATTACAGGTGCCTGCCACTACGCCCACATAATTTTTGTATTTTTAGCAGAGATGGCGTTTCACTATGTTGGCCAGGCTGGTCATGAACTCCTGACCTCAGGTGATCCACCTGCCTTGGCCTCCCAAAGTGCTGGCATTACAAATGTGAGCCACCGTGCCTGGCCTTTTCTTTTACTCTTTTTTTTTTTTTGAGATAGGGTTTCTGTCTGCCGCGCAGGCTAGAGTAGAGCACAGTGGTGTGATCACAGCTCACTGTAGCTTCAAACTCCTGGGCTTAGGGGATCCTCCTGCCTTAGCCTCCTCAGTAGCTAGAACTACAGGCATGTGCCTCCATGCACAGCTAATTTTTTTTAACTGTTTTGTAGAGATGGGATCTCACCTTCTTTCCCAGGCTGGTCTCAAACTAGTGATCCTCCTGCCCTAGCTTCCCAAAATGTTGGACTGCAGTTGTGAGCCAACACGCCCGGCTGTGCATGTCTTTTATAGCATGTATTCATTTTTTCATGTATTCATTCATAGGGTGTTGTTAAGTGCATATCCTGTGCCAGACACTGTTCTAGGTACTTGTGAACAGCAGGGAACAGAACAAGTTTCTGCCTTCATGGAGCTTAAATTCTGGGGTTGCAGGGAATGTATAGGAGATGGATTTTTAACAAATAAATATGGAGTGAGTCAGATTGTGATCAATTCTACAGAGAGAAATAAAGCAGGCTGCAGAGATAGCAAGTGTGTGGTTGTCAGTGTGGGGAGTTGTTCGCCGTGGTGCACGGGTGGCCAGGGATGGCTCCACGGATAAGGTGCCATTTGTGCAGAGCCTGAAGGAAGTGAGGGAGCCACAGCCCTCTGGGCGGGACTCCGTCCGAGGCACCTGCAAGTGTGTGGGCCTCAGGTTGGAGTGTGCTCTGCATGTTTGAGCAAGTAACTATCCTGTTAACTTGTTTGTAGTCTCTCTGTCTCCCTCCTGGAAGGTAATCTCCAGAAGGCAGAGACCTTACCTACCTTCATCTATTGAGGTTTACGGGAACCCCATAGATGCCATCCTTATTTCTTGGCCTGAGTTGGAAATGATAGAGCGGGCAAGCAGTCTCTTAACCTGGGACACAAGAACTGGACAGACTTCTGGAGGCACAGACAGCTCTGGCAGCTGCTTGCCTCCCTGCAGGGATGGGCAGGTTCTGCATACATAGATCCTCCTGCCTTAAGGAGGAGTTAGTGTGCAAGGAGGAGAGGAGGATGGGGCAGGGAGCAACAGGCCGGAGTGTTTGTCCAGGAGAGCATCCTCCATAGAGAAGCACAGAACAATGAAGAAGGGGTGCTTCCTCTTTTTCCCGTCGACACTATAGTCTCAGCACTGTTTCTGGCACATTCTCTGTTCTCAATAAATATTTATAGTTGACTAATAACTATAGTGATTAAACCCAGGATATCCTAGAAGAGTTCTCAGTGATCTGCCCCTTTTCCCTCAAACCTCAGCCTCTTTCAGAGCCTGAGACTGGGTTGCTCCATTTCCTGGTGACAAATAGGAGGAAGAAGGAAACTGCACATCCCCCATGATCCTTGTCTGTTTTCTCTCACCATAACAATACCCGAGACTGGGTAATTTAGAAAGGAAAGATATTTATTTAGCTTGAGGTTTTGGAGGCCGGGAAGTCCAAGAGGATGGTGACAGCTTCTGGGGAGGGAAGCAGAGGCATGCAGAAGGGGCACAGCGTGAGGGGCGCCTGGCTTTATAACAGCCACTCTTGGTAACTCATCCAGTGCCGTGAGTGAGAGTGAGAACTCGCTCCCTCCCAAGAGATATAACCCAGGCCTGGGAGACAGGCATGAATCCCTCTTAATGACTTCATCAGCTCATAAAAGCCCCACCTCCCAGCAACGTCACCGGGGCTCACATTTCCAACACATGAATTCCAGGGGACACCCTTTAAACCTTCGCATCCACTTTACAGGTTGGGTTACCTTACAGGTTGGGTTCCAGGAGGAGCATGTGCCAAGGACTAGGAATACTGGACAAATGTTAAAATGCAGTAGGGGATTCTCAGAGTTTCTTTGAGTGCAAGAGCAAACCTGTGAGTGACTTGGAAAAGTTGAATACCTTAGCTCATTGGTGGGGCTTGAGAGAAGCCTGGATGTGAAGACCTTGACCTTGATGCTGGCTGTCTCATTGATGAAGCTAATGACAAACAGGTGACCCTGGAAATGCAATGGATTTTCCAGCTTGTCACAGCAGCAGGCACCTTGCACCTGAATGAAACTTTTGATGATGGTCTGGAAAAGAGGTGATCAAAGAAACATGTCCTGAAGGGAGAGGCTCTTTGAAAAGATAGGCCGACATTTTATATGGCAGTGTTTAGAGAACAGTGCATATTTTATCAAATGCATTTAACAGTGGCATTCTTTTAAATTGTAATATACTCATGAAAACAGCTGTAGTAGTTTGTGTACCAATGTATGTTTCTTATGGAAAACTTTATGATCACAGATCTAAGGGGAATAACTTTGTATAGTATTGTATCAAATACAATAAACTCTGGAGAAGCCCGCAAGTATGTGTTGAAATGATAAGGCAGAGCCTTGGGGTCATGATATAGATGAAATACACTGATCGACGGGGATTTATAAAATCTGTGGGGGCCTCAATGCACGGATTAACTGCTCCAGCTTTGGGTATCAGTCATTCCTCATGACTTCCTGACTGTTCCTTGTTCCTGTAGGCCATATTTTAAAAAGATAGATAATTACTTTTTTTTTGCAACAAAAATTGAAATATAATTCATGTACCATAAAGCTCACTCATTTAATGTATACAATCCAGTGGTTTTTAGTGTATTCCCAAGGTTGTACAGCTATGACCACTGATTCTAGAACACTTGTCACCTCAGAAACCCTGTATCCATTAGCATCACCCTCCGTCCTCCTGTCTCCCCTGCCCCTAGAGACTACAAATCAGCTTGCTCTCTGTATAAATGTGTCTCTTCTGAGTATTCACTACAAGTGGGCTCAGCTAATATGTGGTCTTTTGTGTCTGGCTTCTTTTAGCCTAGTGTTTTTAGGGTTCATGTTGTAGCATGCATTAATGCTTCACCCTTTTTTATGGTTGGATACTATTCCATCGTATGGATAAACCACATCATCCATTCATCAGTTGATGGACATTTGGGTTGTTTCCGCTTTGAGGCTATTATGAATAATGCTGCTGTGAACATTTACTTAGAAGTTTTTGTGTGGACATATGTTGTCACATCACTGGGGTATAACCTAGCAGTGGAATGGTTAACTCTGTTTAACCTTTTGAGGAACTGCCAAACTCAGTAGCTATACCATTTTACATTCCCACCAGCAGTGTATGGAGGTCCTGATTTCTCCACATCCTCACCAGCACTTGTAATCATCCATCTTTTCAATTACAGCTATTCTAGTGGGTGTGAAGTGATATCTCATTTTAGTTTTGGTCTGCATTTCCCTAATGACAAATAATGAGACGATTACATGTTGCTAAGGACAACTACATACATGTATTTGGTATTTTTTAATATATTTACCGAAATGCATTTTCTTAAAAAAACCCCAAAAAACAGTTACCTTGACTTTCCCCTCCTTACCCTGTAAGGTGTTACAACATCGCTAGAAATGGGCATATTCCGAGGACATGGTTTGGACATTTCTGACGTGTACACTGATGTGCCTGAAGTCAGCAAGGGGATGTTTACCAGTATGAAGTCTTGATGAGGAGAATAATAGTAGCAACATTTGTTCCCCTCCCCTCCCCTTTTTCTTTTCTTTTCTTTAATTTCCTTTTTCTTTTCTTTTTAAGATGGAGTCTTGCTGTGTCCCCCAGGCCAGAGTGCAGTGGTGTGTTCTCAGCTTACTGCAACCTCCATGTCCCATGTCCCGGGTTCAAGCGATTCTCCTGCCTCAGCTCCCGAGTAGCTGGGATTACACAGGCGTGCGCCACCGTGCCCGGCTAATTCTTGTATTTTTAGTAGAGACAGGGTTTCACCATGTTGGCCAGGCTGGGCTCGAACTCCTGACCTCAGGTGATCCGCCCGCCTCCGCCTCCCAAAATGCTGGGATTACAGGCGTGAGCCACCGCGCCCGGCCTGTTCAGGCCTTTAGAATGTATAAAAGTGCAGACGCCTCACTTGAGCGTGGCTGAGGCTGGGGAAAGAGGTGTGGCATCCCTGAGGCTGAGAGCAGGTGGCTTACGGAGCTCCCAGAGCAGCAGGAGGCACTTCAGGACCCCGCTAGCAGCTCTGCCAAGGGGCTGTGGGTGTGGGGATGAGGGCAGGGCTGTAGCCCACCTGACAATCTGTCATCCGCCTGCCGATGACACCCCCAATAAATCCATTCAATATGAACCAAAACTGCGCTTTCTGGGAGTGCAGCTTCCCTCTCATCTGCTTCAGGGAGCGCTGCAGGTTCGCCAAACATCGGAACAGGAAGGAAGCTCTGGGCGTAGTGTCCCCCGTCCAGCTGATACCCTGGGCCAGAAAGGGGCAGTGACTAAGTGCCACAGCGAGCTGCCTTTAGAAGCAGCCAGGCACCTCCTCTGCTGTTTGAGGGAGGTGATAGCAGCAGCCCCGTCTTTTTCGGAGGGGTCGGTTGAGAGGTAGCCCACCCTAATACCCACAGCGAAGGTGGCAGGGCCTGTCGTCTTCACCTATCCTAGGGGGCTTCGCCTCCTTGTCTCCTCCTGGATGTGCCTCGCCCGGGACGGGAGGATGCAGTCCGACCTCCGGGAGGCAGAATCCGCGCGGTGTCCGGGGCTGGCTTTCCAGGTGCCCCGTGCCCGAGGCTGCCCAGGGGGGTCAGTGTTGCGGGAGCCGGATGGGGGCTCCGGTGCAGGCACAGGTTTTGTCCTGTGCTCCGGGATGTGCGCTGCGGGCTCCGCGGCTGCGGTCAGCACGGGGCCCCCCGTCTGGAGAGGAGGGGCCGCGGGCGTCGGGCGTTGGGCGGGGCTGGCCCCTCCTCCGCGGCGCGGTCCCTCCCCCGCCCGGGGCCGACACACGGGCCGAGTGCAGTGCCCCGCGCGGCCGCCTGGGGGCGCCGCTGCACCGCGTCTGCGCGCCCGACCCCCGGCCGGCGAGGTGCGCGCGGCTGCAGCCCCCAAGCCTGAGGCTCCCGCGGGGTGTTTTTTTTCCTCCTCTAGCCCCGCCCGCCCTTGTGGTTTCGAAAGCACTGAACTGAAAGGCAGTCGGCGGGGCTGCGGCGGGCGGTCATTTCCTTCCTGGGCCGCCGGTAAACCGGCTTTGATGAGCCCTTTGGACAAGGCGGGGCCGAGCCGCTGGGACGGGCGATGCGGCAGCACGGTCGGAGGGAGGCTGCGTGGGAGGCCCGTCGCTCCTGCCTGGTCCTCCCCGGGGCCCCAGCCACATCCTTTCCAGTCCGCCCGGTCCCCGTCACACCCGGCGGGCCTCCGCAGCCAGTGTGGGAAACGTGTCTGTTGGAGCCGCGTGGTGGGGGTGGCCCCTCGGTATCCTGGCGCCGGTGGGGAATTTGGCAAAAGACCCGAGGCCGCCAGAGGCCGGCTCCGGGGGCCGCCCTGGTGCTGGGTCTGTCCCTGGCGCTGGCCTGGAGCCCGGCGTCCTTAATTGCGGGAGGGACTCGGATGCCACCTTACAGGCCTGTCGCACGCGACTGTCCTCGCGGTGAGATGAGGGCTTCCCAGGCCTGTACCTGGGGCGGGAGGCCTCTCCCTGGGAGGAGGAGCCCGGCCGCCTGCTTGCTGGAAGGGCCGCCTGGCAGGGCCCGAAGGCCTCCCTGCTGCCCTTCCTCACAGCCTTCCCATCCAGGGCTCTTATCTTTCGCCCTGGGACCACTCACACCGTCGTGTGGGTTGTGGAAGACAAGTCAAGATGACCAGGGCCTTACCCGCAAGCCACAGGGACCTTGACTTCACGGCTCTGACTCTGAGAGGCCACTCTAACTACTTGCCTGTTCTGAGCAGTGGAGCTAGGCCTCATCAGCTGACAGAAAGCCTGCTGTTAAGTTAATGTGTTTTAAATTAAGGCCATTGGTTTTATTTATTAGGGCGATGACTGTTAAGCAGCCCCGATTAAGCCATCCTCTGCTGGTGGGACTAGTCTCCCAGAGGCTGGCCCCTGCGGCCCTGCTCAGGCAGGCCTGGGGATAGCACAGCTGTGCTGCCGGGATAACAGATGAAATGAGACAGCTCACAGCCTGGCACATGGCAGGTGCTTGGTCAACGGTGGCTGCTAATAATGGTACCGGAATAGGTGTGTTGGGAACTGACACCCTGCTGTTGTCACTCTAGAAAGCGCATACCTGTTTATTCACCATGCTGATACCGTTGATTCAGTTGGAGGGCAGTGCAGCTAGCTTGCAAAACAGCTTTCTGGCCAGGTTTATTTCCGGTGTCCCCGTGTTCTTGCAAGTCTTCAATTCTCCAAACTACGGTGTTTTTTCCTTCTCTGACACTCCTCCCTCCCCTACCTCTTGGCAATATATTGTTTGCCTCTCTCTGAAAGCACAGGATGCCTTAGCCTTATTTGATGTTCAGGGGCATCCACACTTTCTCTTTCCTGCTGGAAGGAAGAGGCTCATCTTCATCACGTCCCTTCCCCAGGGGCCCTAGCCCTACCTGGCCCTGGACAGAGGCTCTGCAGTGCTAGCCGGCCTGTGCTCTGGAGTGGGAGCTGCTGCTTGTCAGGATGATGAAGCCTTTGTAGTCTTGTGTAGATGACAGAGTCGCCTCTATGAACGTTCCTTAGTTTCTCGAAGGTTCCAATTCAAATTTGTTTATAGTAAATGGTGCACAATTATACAATTTCTGGTCAAATTTTGATGTTTTGTTTCCCTCTTACTGGTTTTTGATTTGTTTTCTTGGTCTGATTGCACACAGTAACTGTTTATAGTCATTTTTGGGCATCAGCCAAGTGTAAGCTGTAAATGACTTAAAAAGGCCGGGCCTCTGGGGAGACGCTCATGGATCCACATAGCCCCACATACTCCCAGAGCCTGCTCCTATGCCTGGCTGCCACACTATCCCCCTGAGTGGGGTCTCTAGCCTCACCCTCTGTGGCTGTTGCCTCACTGAAGGCTGTGAGGTGGCCCTGCTTTTGCCAGAGCATCACAGCAGCCCAGGATGTGACCTCTGTGTGACCGCTCAGGTGGCCAGGCTCCCTGAGTCCTGGTCAGCGTGGGATTCTGCAGGGGCTTCATAGGCTCAGCAGGTGGATTTGTCAGTCTGAAAAACCTGCACAAGATCAGGCATAGTGCAGGCTTTGCTTAGGGCACCCTTGGCCACCTGCTGTCTAGGGGGTAGGAAGACACAGGGTCGAGGATTGTGGGTGTGCCGGGGCTGCTTTGTGAGGATGGAGAGGCTGGCTGGGGGGCAGGGAGCTTGGAGGATATACACCCATGATACGTGGGTAGCATGTGACCTGCCCACCTTAGAGATGAGGGAACTCAGGCAGCTGGAGCCACAGACTGGCTCTGTCTTCTGTCCCTGGCAGGAGAGTCATGACCAGAAGATGGGGCAGAGGGGGGCAGCTGGGGTAGGGCGGCCTGGCTGGGTGAGTGTGTGGCTCTCTGGGTTGGCAGAGAGTCAGCAGTAGCCAGGACTCTGGAGCGGGAGCCACAGGGAGAGCTACGGGGCCCGTGCCGGCCCAGCCAGGATGTACCTGGCTGCCATGGTGATCCACCTGGCTGGACTGCCTGGGGTTGTGGTGTACCCCGGCCACTTCCCATCTCTGGGACTTTGCTCAGGGGCTTCTTCCCCGGATCACCCATTCCTCCCATCTTCATCTGATTAACTCGCCTTTCATGATGAAGCTCGGACGGTGCCAGTTATGTGGGGACCTACCTCTCACCTCCACCCTGGTGAGCCCCTTTCCCCTGGCTCCTGCCGAGCTGACACTGGCCCTTCTGCCAGCTGCTGGGGGATGAGCACTGTGTCTTATTTCATTCTGTGTCTCCAGGATGTAGTGGCGCAGGGCCTGGCATGGGTAAGACTGCATAGGCTCGCACACTGGAGGAGCTGGATGCCAACACGGTGGGCAGTGGGGTGTGAGTGCAGCCATGGAAGGCCGGGGTGGGATGGCTGGGCACCGATGCCCGTCAGATGTCCTGTGCACATGCTGCTCAGACTTGCGGGACATGGCGTCCTTGGCCGCTTACAGAGGCCTCAAGCTTGTAAAGAAAGCTTCCCGGTCCCTCTTGTCACGGGTTCTCCTGCAGAAAGTCATCCAGCCTGACACTAGCCATGAAGTGTCAGCGGTGTTTTGGGTTTTGGAACTGTCCCCCTTGCATTACCATGAAGAAATGCTGATGCTGGCCCTTGGGAGGTACAAGGGGCTTCACTTGTCTCCCTTACCTGAGAGCCCTGGGAAGGTTGCTTGGTCTGCCTAGAGCCCCGGCTGGCAGGCAGTGCCCTGGGCAAGCTCTTCAGCCTGCACCTGCCCCTGGGCGCTCACTTCAGCTGGAGTGTGGTGGACAGAGTCCTGCCCAGATGTTATTGATCCTGAGTTCTGGGTCTTCCTCTGACCCTGGCTTCTGTTAGCAAGGCCTTCTGATGTCTTTGCCTCAGTTTCTCATCATAAGAGGAGTGGGGACGCTCCGGCTCTGAGTAACAGTCTGTTCTCTTCCAGGCGTGTATAAACAGTGCTGGGGGCTTACAGAGCTCATGCCCTTTCCAGACCCCATCCTGAATGTGCGGGTGAGAAGTTGCGGGGTGTGAGGAGGCTGCTCTTCCCCTCTTTCTGGGATAATCCCTGGAATGACCCTAGGTGAGGCTTCCGTGCTGACTTCCCTTCCGTCCTCTGGGAGGTACTGGTTCGTTTCTCGGGCCCTGCCCTGTGCAGGGCCGCACCTCAGGCCTGCGCGGAGCATGAGGGCGAGGGACTTGGAATGACCAGAGCTGTCTCAGGTTTATCGTCACCGTCAATGAGCCACAGTTGCCACCATCGCAGGAGACCCTGGGTGGCAGGCACCATGCTGGATCCTGCTTTTCCTCCCTCATTTAACCTTGGAGCAGCCAGGCCTGTGAGGGGTAGCTAGTCTCCCCTAGGAAGAGGCTGCACAGATGAGCTTGCTCGGAGCCATGATTGGAGTCCGGCTTGCTGATTCTTCAGCACTCTGCCCGATGCCTGTTGATTTTGGCGGTTTGTTCTTGTCCCTCCAAAGCCAGGAATGCTCTGTGAGAGCTGGGGCCCCACCAGAAGGGTTCCCACGGTGCCCCTGTGCCTGCTGCTGGCTGGGTGGCCTCTTCCCCTGGTCAGCTGGGTGGCACAGAACAGGGGAATCCCAGGGCTGCCCGGGGTGGACCTTCCCTCCCTCCTCCAGGAGCTGCCCATAGAACAGCAGGGAGCCTCTTTCTAGGAGGTGGGATTTACAGGCTGAGATGTTGGAGCCCCACCTCCCTCATTTAGCTGCAGAAGAGGTCTGGGTTGGAGGGAGTCCAGACTCTGGTCCTGGAGTTGAGTCTATTCATGTTATCCATGAGAAAACGGGGGCCCAGAGAGGCCAAGCAACTTGCTCAGGGCCACACAGCTGCTCAGTGGACAAGGGAGACTGGGAGCAGCTCTCCTGTGCCCTCTCTGGTTCCCTGCACTCATGGTCTCCCTGCCTGCCTTCCCTTGTGTTCGGAAGCCAGTTCTACGCTGTGCTTGCTCTGTGCGCCGGTTTGTCTTCTGTTTTGGTTTCTAGCCTGACACAGCTTTTGGATCTCACCCACTTGTGACTCCCTGCAGTCGTCTGTGTTTTGTGGACAATGAAAGGCTTTGCTCCACGTCCACTGATCGGCTGCTCCAGAAGGAAGCTTTGCAGCCTCCTCAGCTGCAGGCCCAGAGTCATGGCTCCCTCCAACCCATTGCCTGGCCCTGCTCAGCCCACTTGGATGGAGCTGAGTCCCCAGCCCGACTGGGTCCTGCTGGGGGCTGAGCTCGTGGGTGCGAGCCGTGTGGGGTAGGGAACCCCGCTGCTGTCTCCCACCTGGCTCTGCACTCCTGCAGCCCCAGTCCTGCCGTGACTGTCACAGGGATCTCCAGGCCTGGTCGGCGGCTCCCTGTTGTGCGAGCATGGTACTCGGAAACCGCCTTTTCTGCTGGTTTAGTCCGACTGAAGCTCCTTGCTGAGGGACTGCATTCCCTCTGCAAACCTATGGCCTTATGGGTCTTTCTGATGCTGCTGTTATCCCCTGCTCTGTCCGCAGTGCTGGTGAATTTCCCAGCCTGGGGCAGTTGGGGACAGGGTCCGAGTCTGACTTCTTTCTCTTTCCTGTGCAGCGGGTGTGGGAATGGGCGTGTGTCTCTTGAATGAGTATGGTGTTGGCTACAGATGGGCCGCTTTAGATCCTGGCTCTACCTCATCTTTCTGGGAGGTGGGGGGTAGTTGTTTACATTCTCTGAACCACCTCCTCTCTGTAGCAGGGGCCCAGTCCTATCACCTGCCCCAAAACATTGGTGTGAGGGCGACGTTAAGTGACTGAATGTGCACAGCGCAGCTGTTTGTGCTTGACGCGTGCTAGGTGGACCCTTAGGCACTGCCCTGGCCCCGTGAAGGCCCTGCAGGTCTGTGTCCCACCCTTGGTGGCTGTGCCCAGCTTTAGCATGCCACCTCATGGTCCTGCTCAGTGGCTCACCTGCTCACCCTGTGTCAGGTCCCAGCCTGGCGCAGGTGGCTGCCCCTGAATCTGGGCCTTGCGAGCCTGTTGCCTGGATGCCCAGGTTCCAGATGCTTCACCTTGGGAAACAAAAGAGCAGTTTTGGCACAGAGATCCCGCAGCCTACAGACTTAATTATGCCCCGTGGACGTGCTGAGCAAGAGTGAGAGGGTGACTGAGCCTGCAGAGGGCTCTGTGTGATGCCATGTGGCCCCCAGTTTCCTCACAGGGGAAAAGGAACAAGCTTCCGGCTCAGGGAATGGCTTCCCAGGAGCAGATGGTACTTTGAAAATCACCTCGTCAGGCTTCGAGCCTGCGTCCTGTGGTTGGGAGGGTGAGGGGCGTGTTGTTTCTGCTGCTGACCCCAGTTTCAGGGCAAATTTAACCTGTGGTCAGTGCAGGGTGGGGCTTTGGTCCCAGGCCCTGGGGCTGAGGCCCTGGAGAACCTGCCAGGCCTGGGCAGTCACTGCTGACGTCTGTGGCCAGAGTCTCCAAGCGCTGAGGGCCCCCTGGGGCCTGATTTATGGGGGTCTTTGGGGGACTTGTTCCAGCCTGGAAATGTGAGAGGGAAATCTCCCCACCCCAGTGGGGGTGCCCCCTGGTGCACAGCTGGGCAGTGGGCACCCCCGTGACTTGTCCGAGAGCACCGTTTCCCTCTGGTGTTACCCTTTAAAACTCACTTGAGGGAAGAGTGATTGGCTACATAGTTGAATTTGCTGAGCAGCGTTTGCAGAGGATGTAAACTGCCAGGTAGGCTGGCCCTGCTTACTGGTCTCTTCTTTGGGCTCACTGAGTGACTGAGTGGCTTTCGCTTTGATCAGAAATGTGAACAGGCCGGGCGCGGTGGCTCACGCCTGTAATCCTAGAACTTTGGGAGGCCGAGGCGGGCGGATCACCTGAGGTCAGGAGTTCGAGACCAGCCTGGCCAACATAGTGAAACCCCGTCTCTACTAAAAATACAAAAATTGGCCAGGCGTGGTGGTGGGCACCTGTAGTCCCAGCTGCTCGAGAGGCTGAGGCAGGAGAATTGCCTGAACCCAGGAGGCGGAGGTTGCAGTGAACCAAAATCACAACACTGCACTCCAGCCTGGGAGACAAAACTCCTTCTCAAAAAAAAAAAAAAAAAAGAAAAAAAAAGAAATGTGAGCAGTTGAAGATTTTAGAACTGATGTGGCTCTCAGAGAGTTGGGAGACATTTTAAGGCAAATGCAAAATGAAAACGTGTCTTTTGCTTAAGGCTGTGTCTTAAGCAGGGGCCTTGGGAAATGAAACGGGATCTTGCCGCTTCGCCTCCTGATTTCTGGAGCTGTTGACTTCTCAGCCTTTTTCTGTGACATGTGCAGCATCTGGACCTGATTTACGGGAGTCTTTGGGGGATTTGTTCCAGCCTGGAAATATGAGAGGGAAATCTCACTGCCCCAGGAGAGGAGTCAGTGCTTAGGGCAGCCTTCCCTGGGCCCCGGGGAGAGGGAGGGTCCAAGAAAAGGGCAGGAGAAAGTGCTTGGAGAAAAGCGGGCAGCTGGGGTGCAGTGCCTGGGCTCCACGGAGAGCCCTTTGTGACTTGCTTCTCCAGGTAGTGGAAAGCTGTAAATCTCATTCAACAAACCGTCTTCATTTTCCCACGTTCCCTTGAGCCCTTGTTTCTTGCAGGCCTAATTTGGATAGAGCAGGGGAATTTTGTTCTCTACTCACGTTACTGAATAGGGGACCCACCTGCGGTGGCGTATGCCATAAACGCCTCCCCGCCTCGCCGCCCCTGCCCTGTCTCCAGCTTATTGTTCATATCACTGTAGCATACGTTATAGTCATATTTCTTTTGTAACCTGAGCTGTGAGTTTCTGTTTTTTTCACACAATAAATAACACCACAGTGAATCTCTCTCTCTCTCTCTCTCTCTCTCTCTGTGTGTGTGTGTGTGTGTGTGTGTGTGTGTGTGTGGTTTTTTTTCTTCTTTTGAATTGTTCCCAGGAACCTTCCTTGATTCTCCACAAGAAACACTTCCCAGTCCTATGTGGTCCTGTTCCCACAAATTAACACATGTGAAGATCAGGTCTATCAGGGCTGCTCCTCAGTGCCCACTCTCTTGCCTCTTCATTATAAAGAATTTTTCCTGCTAATTTATATTACACAGCCCCGCTTTTTGCCTCTCACGATATATTTTTTAGATGTTAAAAAATTTTAATTCTAAAATAAGCCAAAACAGAAAAATGAAAACAAAAAAAGTAACAGATATCTTTGTTTCTACTGTGTAAGTTAAATAGGTGCTAACATTTTTCTCTATTTGCTTAAGATTCTTTTTTTAAGGAAATAAAATATTATAGACGTAGCTAAAGCTCACTCTATTTCTTCTCCATCCTACTCCCTCCAGAGGTATTTACTGTCACAAATAAGAAGTTGGTGTTTTGTGCAATTTGTATGTTTTTAATTTTTACCACATATGTATGCATAAAATATATATGTATTACTGCTTTGTATGTTTTCAGCAGTTATGTAAACAGTCTCATATATCCATTTGACATTTCATTGTGAGTATGAGATTTCATAGCCTTATGATTTTGAGATTTATCTTTGCTGATACATGGAAGTCTTGCCCTGTCATTTTAATTGCTGTGTAGTATTTTATTGTGGGTGGACCTCCGTTTACTCATTTGCCTTCTGAGAGATGGCCGGGTGGTTCCCCTGTTTTGTCACTCCCACTACTGTGAACACCCAGGCGAACAATGTGCTTGAGGCTCTCCAGGGTCACGCCTGGAAGGGGCTGCTGGGTCCTGGGGTGTGTGCATCTTCTGCTTTGCAGGACCCTGGTGAGCTCCCCTCCAGGTGGCTGTTCCCCTTCCCATTCCATGTTCTCTTGAGCACTTGGCGGAGACTCCCTTTTATTGGTGTGGGTCTTGCTGCCTTTGAGGCAGGAGGTAGTAGAGGCTTGGGGGCAACTTTGGAAATAGGATAGGAGGGAAACTTTGAGAGCAGACCTGCGTGGCTCCTTTGTGCCACCTCAGACTTCCTGGCTGTGCAGACACTGGGGCCAACCTTCCGAGAGCGTTCAGAGTCTCTGTGGAGGGTAGAGAGGAGGGTGCCTCCAGCTGCAGGCGGAGCAGCCCCTCACTGAAGTCTGGACCCGGTGCTCAGCGCAGCTTCACAGGCGTCTGTCCTGGCCTCACTCCCTTCATGGGCAGGTGCAGGGCTGTATGAGAAGGGCCGGGGGCCTGGCTTCTGGGCTGGCTCCTATAGGGACCTGCTGCCTAACCTGTGGATAGCCCCTTTCCACCTGGCTGGGCCCCGCCTTCCCTGTCAGAAACACATGGGGTCACATGAGTGATTTGGGTGACCGCTTGGCTCTACCCATATTGGTCATCCACTTGATTTTTGCAGTTAGCAAGTGGTCTCTGCTTTTCCTAACCATGGTCTGCTAGGCTTGAGCCTTGGGGAGCCAGCAGGTGGGGTGGAGGTGGGGGACCTGCCCGCGGGGCAGCAGGGGCCTCGTGCGAGGATGACTTGGCTGTCTCCTTCCTGCAGCTGTGCTCAGTGAGATGGTCTGTGCTTTCATGTAGCTTGAGGGAGTCCTCAGATCCCAGGGCCGTCTGGCCAGTGCACATTTATGCCGACAGAGGGAAGCCTAGGTTGGTCCTTGTGGGTCATTCACAAAAGCCAGAGGCAAACGAGTGCTGCTTTGAGATGAGCATTTTTAAGATCCATGTAACCCCGTCCAGTATTGCTGCTATCTGAAGCCATCATTCAGCCTGGGCATCTACTATGTGCCAGGTGCTGTCCTGGGAACTTGGGTGTATCAATGAACAGAAGAGACAGAACAGGTGAAAAGTCCCTGCCTTGTAGCGCTTACATCCTGGCAGGAAGAGGACTAGATGAGCTGTTAAAATGTCTCGTTTGCTGCCTGGGAGACAGTGAAGTAGGGGTTCATAAAAGGTTAGGTTTCATTTCTTTGTTCCATGAAAAGCAGATGAATAAATCATATAGTATGTTAGCAGGTGAGTACATTATACCGTGTGTCAGCAGGAGAAGAGGACCAGGAGTATGGGGGTGGTTGCAGTGTTTTTTTTTTTTTTTTGAGATGGAGTTGCACTCTTGCCGCCCAGGCTGGAGTGCAGTGGCGCGATCTCTGCTGACTGCAACCTCTGCCTCCTGGGTTCAAGTGATTCTCTGGCCTCAGCCTCCCAAGTAGCTAGAGTTATAGGCATGTGCCACCACGCCCAGCTAATTTTTGTATTTTTTAGTAGAGACGGGGTTTCACCACGTTGGCCAGGCTAGTCTCAAACTCCTGACCTCACGTGATCCATCCACCTCGGCCTCCGAAAGTTCTGGGATTACAGGTGTAAGCCAACACGCCCGGCCAGTTGCAGTTTTTAATTGGATGGGCAGGGAAGCTGTCACTAAAAGGTGACATTGAGTGAAGACCTGAAGGAAAGAAGGAGCTGGCTGGGCAGCCCTGGGGAGGAGCATCTGGGCAGCAGGTGTGAGGGGCTGCTGTGTCGGAGGCTCAGTGCAGTGTGGCCTGGGTGAGCACAGTGGACATCAGTGCCAGAGCTAGCAGGAGGAGGGCAGCTCCCAGCCTGCATCAGAGTGAGGATTCCAGCTTTGACTGGGTCAGAGGAGGAGGGCTCTGGCCTCCGTGTGGAGAGTAGAATGCTGGGGAGACCCTTAGGAGGCCATCACCCTGGCTCTGGGGAGAGAGGATGGTGCTTGGCCTGGGGAAGCTGTGGTGGTGGTGGGTGGTGGAGGGATTCTGGATCCATCAGGAAAGGGCCGCTACTAGGTTGGGATGTTGAGGTTTTCTCCACTAGAGTTTATTTATGCGTGGACTTGAAGTATGTGACATCAAGAGGGCTACAGACCACACGTTTACCTCTTTTGACAGCGCTTGGGTTTGTAGTGAGCAGGCTCAGTGGGAGCTGTGCCCCTTAATGAAGGAGTCAAATAGGACAAGTGAAGCGAGGGCAACCCTTGTGCCTGAAAGGTTGAGTGTGTTCTGGAATCGGCGAGACGTGGGCTGAAATCTGGGCTTTGGCCATCGACCTAGTCACCCTGGGCAGGGACCTTCCCCTCTCTGGCCACGACTGCCTCCTTTCCACGGGGCATGGTTATGGTGAGGATGAGATGAGCTCATGTCCATCTACGTTGCTGCCTGACATGTTTCCTTTCTTTGTGATCCCATGAAGAGCAGGTGCCAGTGTGCCATGTGCCTGTCACGTGCCATGCGCCTGGTGTGAGCCGCGTGGCCATTGTGTGCTGATGTGAGCCGTATGCCTGATGTGAGCCCTATGCCTGTTTTATACAGCATGGTGCTGCTTAGAGAAGTGCCAGATCCTGAACATCGCCTGGTGGGTGTAACCTTTTGAAGTTACAGGAAGGGATTTAGTTAGAGGCTTTAGATGAGACATTAGGTGAATTAGGTGAGTAGGTTCTGACGTCAGGCGGGGAAATCAGCGTGTTGAACTCCCCCTGGCTGCTGGTGCCGCACTTGGCCTTTTAAACAGTGTCTCACCCACAAAAGGAGGCGATGGATGTGAATAGGGCATCTACAATTCCGTCTGCATGTTTCCTTCCTGCATTTTCCCAGTGCCCTAGAGCTGTCTGCAGTATTACCTACTTAACGTATATTTTAATTTGGCTCCTGTATTAGTCCATTTTCACGCTGCTGATAAAGACATACCCGAGACTGGGTAATTTATACAGGAAAAAGGAGTTTGTTTTTTGAGACAGAGTCTCACTCTGTCCCCCAGGCTGGAGTACAGTGGCGCAATCTTGGCTCACTGCAATCTCCTCCCTCCGAGTTCAAGCGATTCTCCTGCCTTAGCCTCCCGAGTAGCTGGGATTACAGGTGCCTGCCACCACACTCAGCTAATTTTTGTATTTTCTTAGTAGAGACGGCGTTTCACCCTGTTGGCCAGGCTGGTCTCAAACTCCTGACTGCAGGTTATCCACCCGCCTTGGCCTCCCAAAGTGCTGGGATTACAGGTGTGAGCCACTGCGCCTGGCCAAGGAAAAAGGGCATTTTAATGGACTTACAGTTCCATGTGGCTGGGGAAATCTCACAATCATAGTGGAAGGCAAGGAGGAGTGAGTCATGTCTTACATGGATGGCAGCAGGCAAAAAAATAAGAGAAACTCCCGTCTTTTGTGGTGGTGTTGTTGTTCAGGGAAGCGGGAGCTGTGCAGGGAAACTCCTCCTTACGGAACCATCAGATTTCATGAGACTTACTCACTTTCACAGGAACTGCACGGGAAAGACCTGCCCGCACGATTCAGTTACCTCCCGCCCAGTCCCTCCCACAGCAGGTGGGAATTCAAGATGAGATTTGGGGAGAGACACAGCCAAACCATGTCAACTCCTTTTTCTTCTTCTTTTCTCCTTAGCCCCTCCTGAGGTAGTATCTGTTGAAGTCAAAGTTCTAAAGCTTTCTTCTTAGTACTTTGCACAACAGTATAAGCCTGTAAGTATCTAAGTGGTTGGTCCGTGTGCCCACAGGACGCCCTTTTGCACCCCTCTGGATGTGTGTGTACCAATCTCAGCGAGCACTGGATGAGCGGCTTTGTGAAACCCAGGAGAGCAGGCAGCCTTGGAAAGTGGCTGATAAGGTTTGGCTGTGTCTCCACCCAAATCTCACCTCAAATTGTAATCCCCACGTGTCAGAGGAAGGGCCTGGTGGGAGGTGATTGGACCACAGGGGCGGGACTTCCTCCCTGCTCTTCTCGTGAGAGTCAGTGAGCTCTCAGGAGATCTGCTGTTTGAAAGTGTGTAGCGCTTCCCCCTTCTCTCTCTCTGTCCTGCTGCACTATGGTGAGATGTGTCCCTTCCGCCGTGATTGTGTGTTTCCTGAGGCCTCCCCAGCCAGGCAGAACTGTGAGTCCATCAAACCTCTTTTCCTTATAAATCACCAAGTCTTGGGTCCTTCTTTACAGCAGTGTGAGAACAGGCTAATACAGCAGCTGAGCCTGCCCTGGGGTCGGAGGGTTCGAGCCTGGCAGGGCTGTCTGGGGATCATGGCTCTCCCCCTTGGGCTCCAGCTGTGTCCCCAACCCAGAGAGCCAGGAAGGAGGTGGGGGGCCATTCGGAACTGGGGCTCAATGCCAGTTTCAAGAGAGGCCGGCCCCTAGAGGAAGCTGTGCACGAGGGTGAGGTGCGGAAGATGGGGACGAGCCTCCCGGCCCAGGCCACCTTCCTGCCTGCGGGACAGAATCTGGCTCAGTGCCTCCTTTGGGTGTTACTCATGGTAAAACTGCAGTGTTCTTTGGAGGTCATAGGTCATGGGATGGTTCCCACACGAAAAAAGGACAAATCGAGGAATCTGGCTAAGAAGCCTTCACGGCCCTCCCACCGCTCGGCTTGGTGAATACGTGGACTGTGACCGACCACCCTCAGATTTCACAGTGAAATCCTGGAACGGCCGTTCGCCCTCTTCTCCCATCTCACCTCCTTCTTGTCTTTCCCTCGCTGCCATACCTCTTCCCCTCCTTTTTGGGGTGGAACACATTATTTTGTAGAAAAACGGCTTCTACTGTCCGGAAAATTTAGTATTAAATGTCAAAAAGCAAAACATGATTTATAGAAAAGGTGAATTAGGGAATGCTTCTACCCACTGTGCAAGGATTATTTCAAAAAAGTTCACTCAGAGTATTCTTTAGTGAGTGCCAAAAACAGATGGTGAGTGACTCCGTGCATTTGTAATGTTTCTCTGTGGAGAGACAGAAATTGGGACCAGGAGGCTGGAGCGGCAGGTGGCGAGTGGCGCCGGGAGTCTGGGACTGGCTCTCTGGCTGTGGCTGTGGGGGCTGGATAGACCGTGTTAAAGAAATCCTGGATTTATGCTTGTGGAACCCCTCAGCCTGTGTCACGGTGTCTGGAAGGCCATGTGGCCACATTGTAACATCACTGTTGGCTGGTCATGAACACACAGAGAGTCCAGAGGATAGCACAGACCCCTGCTCACCCCCGCCTCTCCTTTGGAGCTGCCTTGTGGTTTATTCCTCATCAGCCTGGAGGAGTGTCCGGGGCTCACCCCCTCTGCCTCTGCTCACTGCTCATTCCTCTCATTTTTCCCCTGAGTCTTGCTCTCCCTCCAGGGACATGGCTCCATCCTGCTGGTTTGCCATAGTTCCTCATGGTCATCCTGGAAATTCATCTGGAAGGCCCGTGTGTTTGAAGGTCCACAAGGTGCCGTACCTACAAGACAGACACACTGTGTATTGCTGTGCTTACACGGTCTTCGTCTCTGTATCTGCTTGCCAAAGACCCTCTTGCCATTGGAGGTGAGGAAGACACGAGCAGGGTGAGGGGAAGAAGAACAGGTCTGGCCACACTTGGCACAGAGAGGGCACTGGATCCTTTGCGCAGGTCTTCTTTCTTCCAGTCGTGACAGCCTTGTCTTCCTGGGGACCGATGCTTGATTGTTGCTCTGTTAGGAGCGCCTGAGTCAAAAGCAAATTGAGATTTTGAAAGAGAGAAGGGGTTTATTTTAGCCATTTATCCTCCCTTCATTACAGGCAAGAAAAAACCTGGTGTAAACACCAGTGTGCTAGATGGAGAAGGAGGCGAAGAGAATAAATCAGCAGGTGTGTGTGTGGTTGTGTTGTCTTCTGTATTAGACCATTTTTGCGTTGCTATAAAGAGATATCCGAGATTGTGTAATTTATTTTAAAAAGAGGTGTAATTGGCTCATGGTTCTGCAGGCTGTAGAGAAGGGTGGTGCCAGCGCCTGCTTCTGCGGGAGGCCTTAGGAAGCTTCCGGTCATGGCGGAAGGTGATGGGGAAGCAGGCACATCACAGGGTGAGAGCAGGGGCAGGAGAGAGTGGAGGCGGGTGGAGGTGCCACACACTTCTTTCTACAACCAGATCTGCCGTGAACCGCCTGAGCGAGAGCTAACTCACATCCAAGGAGATGGTGCTAACCATTCATGAAGGACCCGCCCCCATGATTCCGTACCTCCCACCAGGCCCCAGTCCGGCGTTGCGAATCACACTCCAACATGAGATTTGGAGGAGACACACATATCATCCTCTCTGCCTCTTCCCACTCCCACGTGAGGCAAACACCCGTAGTTCCTTCAGCTGCCGCTCAAATTAAATGGCTTCTGGACCCCTTGCCTCCTTGGGACACTCTAGAACAGGTGTGTCCAGTCTTTTGGCTTCCCTGGGCCACACTGGAAGAAGATGAATTGGGCCAGGTGCAGTGGCTCATTCCTGTAATCCCAGCACTTTGGGAGGCCGAGGTGGGCCGAATCACTTGCAGGAGTTCAAGACCAACCTGGCCAATATGGTGAAACCCCATCTCTACTAAAAATACAAAACTAGCTGGGCGTGGTGGTGCGTGCCTGTAATCCCAGCTACTCAGGAGGCTGAGGCAGGAGAATCGCTTGAACCCGGGAGGCAGAGATTGCAGTGAGCCAAAATCACACCACTGAACTCCAGCCTGGGTGACAGAGCGAGACTCCGTCTCAAAAAAAAAAAAAAAAAAATTTTCTTGGGCTACACATAAGGCTGAAGAGCAATGGTGCAATCTTGGCTCACTGCAACCTCCGTCTCCCAGGTTCAAGCAATTCTCCTGCCTCAGCCTCCTGAGTAGCTGGGATTACAGGCACGTGCCACCACCCCCGGCTAATTTTGTATTTTTAGTAGAGACGGGGGTTTCTCCATGTTGGTCAGGCTGGTCTTGAACTCCCGACCTCAGGTGATCCACCCACCTTGGCCTCCCAAAGTGCTGGGATCACAGGCGTGAGCCACCGCACCCGGCCGGGAGTGGGTTTTTTTTTGTTTTTTTTTTTTTTGAGACAGAGTCTCATGTTGTATTTGTCATAATGATCTAAAGTTTAAAAATTTTTAAATGAAACATGTTTTTTTTTTTTTTTTTTTTTTTGAGACAGAGTCTTGCTCTGTCGCCCAGGCTGGAGTGCAGTGGTGTGATCTTGGCTCACTGCACGCTCTGCCCCCTGGGTTCACGCCATTTTCCTGCCTCAGCCTCCCGAGTAGCTGGGATTACAGGCGCCCTCCACCACGCCTGGCTAATTTTGTATTTTTAGTAGAGACAGGGGTTTCTCCATGTTGGTCAGTCTGGTCTCGAACAGCCGACCTCAGGTGATCCACCCACCTTGGCCTCCCAAAGTGCTGGGATTACAGGCATGAGCCACCGCGCCCGGCCGGGAGTGGTTTTTAAATGAAGATTCCTGTGCCTGACTGCCGACCCTGACTCAGAATCTCTGTGCTCAGTACCCTGGAGTCTGTGTTTTAATAAGTCTCCCCAGCAAGAGCCATGTGTGCGTGCAGCAAAGCTGGAGACCCAGGACCCAGAGCTGCCCTCCTTGCAGCGAGGGTGAAGCTTGCAGGCTTGCTGGAGACACGCCGTCCTGTTGACATGTGACGTTTCATCACCTGCTGTCCAGTGGGCCGGTGTCTTTGTGTTACATTTGCTCCTACCCTGCCCTGGTCATATCAAGGTTTTGGATGACTGGAATAGGGCCCATCTCTGCTGACACAATGGCAATCTTGCAGGAGTCCTAGAACGTTCATTGCAGGTCTGGTTACCTAGAAACTAGTGATGGTTCAGTAAGCACGAGGTGGAGATGAGGGTGAGGAGGTAACGATTGGACGTCGTGCAGTGAGGACAGCGTGGGGAGGAGGGGCTGTCACTTTTGAACTGTCAGTAAAGTAGGTTGTGAGAATGGATATTGGACATGGCTTTAGAAATTAGCTGGGCAGGCTGCTTTTCCCCTCTCAGCTGTTTGTGGTGCTGCCTGACAAAATTCAATTACTAGTCCATCCAGGACATCCTGCAGAAGCGATAATCGTCACATGAGGGAGGGGCCCAGCCTGTGGTTCTGTCTTTTTCTTTCCTTGTAAAAACTGCACGTCCATTATGACTGTTACCTTTTCCATTTAAAGCTAACCAAATTCAGAGCATTTACCACTTACCCTTGCAGACCTTTGTTTTCAAAGTGAGCTCAAGTTATTGGTGGGGGCAACAGGCAGCCACTGATAGTGTCTTCAGGACATGTTAGTGACTAAGAAAAGAGAGATCAATAGACCTGTGGCTCTACCCGTCTATCACTCAATTATCTGTCTGTCACTCCAGGAAAACCTCATTTAAGGAAACACCTTTGATATAATTTCAGACATAAATTTTAGATTCGGGCATGGCTATTCTGAAGTAGTAATAGAGAAGTTATTAAGAATAACTTTTAGGCAGACAGTTAAGGTAAAGGTTCTCGGTGGAAATTTTCTTATAATAAGAAACAACCCCCGAACCATCTCTTTTTTTTTTTATTATACTTTGAGTTCTAGGGTACATGTGTACAACGTGCAGGTTTGTTACATATGTATACATGTGCCATGATGGTGTGCTGCACCCATTAACTCGTCATTTACATTACGTGTATCTCCTAATGCTATCCTTCCCCCTTCCCCCCACCCCACGACAGGCCCTGGTGTGTGATGTTCCCCTTGCTGTGTCCAAGTGTTCTCATTGTTCAGTTCCCACCTATGAGTGAGAACATGTGGTGTTTGGTTTTCTGTCCTTGCGATAGTTTGCTGAGAGTGATGGTTTCCAGTGTCATCCATGTCCCTACAAAGGACGTGAACTCATCCTTTTTTGTGTCTGCATAGTATTCCATGGTGTATATGTGCCACATTTTCTTAATCCAGTCTATCATTGATGGGCATTTGGGTTGCCGAACCATCTCTTTTCTAACAGAAAAGGCGTCTTGAAGGGCTGGGCCAGCAAGCTTTGATATGCGAATGCCAGCCATTAGAAACTGGGTTCACTCAACATGGCGATTCCCACCCTGTTCTTGTCACTGGGTGTAGCAAGTGTTATGGCCACCTCCAGATAACACCTTGTGTTCAGAACATCATGGCACCCTACATTTGCATATTAAAAGGGCTAAGGTGGGAGGGCCAGGTTTTTCTGCGGGCTGTGTAAATAACATACCTGGACAAATCAATTCCCTGGGCCCTATGCAGATCAGACCCCACCTCCTCCAGCCTCCCATGTGAACCCCCGCTTTTCCACTGCACTTTGTTTCTCCTTGTTCCAAACCCTATCCCTTGTCTCTGTACGGGTGAGCTGTTCCCTTCTTTCTTCCTTCTTTCTTGCCTATTAAACTTTTCGCTCCTTAAAACCACTCCTCATGTGTCCATGTCATTGATCCTGTTGGCGCAAGACCAAGAACCCTGGTGTTGCTCCAGTCATCAAAGTCGTATCAGTAGTTTGCAGGTTGGGTGTAAAATTGAGGCAACAGCTCCTACTGACAAAGAGAGTGATTGTAGCCCGGGTCTTCTGTCTAGCAGGTTAAAGGTGAGAAGGAGGCCTGTGCTCCGGAATGTTTAGAGTAAGTCCTATGTGGAAGAAATCTCTCTCTTTGGGTGAGGGCTGGGATGGAGAAGCACATGACATGCCCGGGGGAGATGCTGGGGTCAGAAGGAACTGCTCAGTTCCCAGGTGCTGCGGGGCCACGGGGCAACATTCTGTGTCTGAAACAGTTGTCCCATCGCCCCTCCTCTCTGCCCCTTTATTTGCTCGTTCCTACCTGCAGCAAGCATTTACAGAGCCTCCACTGCATGGGAAGCACTTGACTAAGAGCTGGATATGCAGCAATGAATACGACAGACAAGGTCCCGCCCTCATGGTGCCTTACAGGCTGGCTGGGAGCTGGGGAGAGATGGGCAGTAAGTGACTAAACACTGAAAAATATGACATGTCTGGTGATAAGTATTATGGAGGAAATGAATCTGGTCATGCAATAGCCAGGACTGATGGGTACATGTGTGTGTTGTGTGCATGTCTGTGTATGTTGTGTGCATGTGTGTGTGTGTTGTGCGCATGTGTGTGTGTGTTGGTGGTGAGGGTGGTAGCTACTTTTTTGGTGAGGGAAAATCTCTGGAGGTGACGTTTGAACTGATACCTGAATGGCTAGAAGGATTCAGGCAGAAGGTTCTGGGGGAGGGTTCTCTGAGCAGAGTAGACAGTGCATAGGCCCTGGGGTGTTCAGGTGTCTGGCATGGGTGTAGGAATGAAAGACTCCTAGTCCGTTAGCAGATTTTTCTTCGCTTCTGGAAATGCGCCTTCACATTCTTGGTGCAGGTTAATTGGAAAACAATGTTTTGTTTTGTTTTCCCAGAAAGTCATTTTTCCTCCAGTTCTTGTTGGAATTGCTGACAAGCCTTGGGGAGAGATCAATAGGTAGTGTAGCTCTGCCCATCCATCACTCAATCATCTGTCTGTTGCTCCAGGAAAACTTCCTTTAAGGAAACACGTTTGATACAATTTCAGACATGAAAATCAGGACACAGAATAGCTGTGCCCTAATTTAAATCCTGTGGGGCCCATAGTGGGGTCTATTGTGTCCCCAACCACCAGCCTCAGAGCCTGTCATTTTGTTTGCTTGTCCTCCAAGTGTATGGATACCAGACATCACAGGGCACCTGCCCTTGCTTCAAGAAGGTGTGAACAGCTCCTCCTTGGGAATGTGCCAAGTAGGTGTCGGTCCTGAAAGACCCGCCCTGCTTCTTCAGGTCGGCCTTGGTGTTCTGCCAGGCTTGACGAGGCCTGAGAGTGGGAGAGTGGGAGAGGCCATTTCCAATTGGGAGGCAGATGTCTTTACTTAGTGACTTTTCTGATACATTAAGACCTCTTCCGTTCAGAATTGTGTTTGATCTACCTATAGGTTTGGAGCGTTTTAGTGACTCTTTTTTTTATTTGAGATGGAGTCTTGCTCTGTTGCCCAGGCAGGAGTGCAGTGGCACAATCTCAGCTCACTGCAACCTCCGCCTCCCAGGTTCAAGCGATCCTCCTGCCTCAGTCCCCCAGTTTATGGTTCCTTCAGGAGGTGGATTCAGCATTGGCAGGGGCACCAGGATTGCTGGACTTGGGTAGAGTGTGCCTGAGCTTTGTGCCACCACCTTCCCTCCAATAGCTGTGCTGGGGGATGGTCTCTGGCGGCGCATGGGGAGGAGATGGGTGAACCCTTGGCCTCCGGCCGACCTGTGGCGTTGCTGTCTGTGGCCAGAGGAGTGGCTGTTCTTCAAACAGGCCTTGGGATTTCCGGGAAACCTGGCATCTTTCCGTGCGTGGGGCCAGCCCTTGCCACGTGCCTTCTTGGCTCAGGAGTGTGGCTGCGACCTGACTCCCAGTGGGGCCGGCCAAGTGATAAAATTAGTTTTCTCCACCAAATGGAGCTAAAGGCTTGGCCTGAGTTTATGTCCCCAGGGAGTGTTTAGAGGAGCGGTGGCCTGGCTCTCAGGCATCTCAGTGCCAGCGAGCACAGGGCTGGGTGGCAAAGACGCCTGCTTCTGCCTGGCACCAGGCTCTGCCATGACTGATGGATGCTTCAGCCTCCCTGCATCACAAGTGTTGAGTTTGCTGTGCATGGTAGAATATGAGGCAAGCTTCACCTCTTTCCCCTCCTCCCTACACTGTCCCTTTCGAAAGAGTTGAGCCTTTCCAAGGTCTTTTATATCACACAGCACTTTCTCGGTTACATATTTTAGTTTGAACAACAAAGTACTGTTTGAGGACACCTTTGCCTGAAAAGAAAGCTCAGTCATTACTGAATTTAGATGCAGAAGTAATTAAAAATAAAAGTAGGCAGAGAAATTTAACACAGATTTAATCATTTCTGGGGCAGGATATTCCTGGGGTGGGATATTCCTGAAGGTTAGTGAATGGCTACAAATATATGATTATAGGCCGGTGAAGAACCCTACTTTGAGAAATGTCATTAGGTGATTAAAAACAACACCCAACTGCCCTCATGATACGAACATGGGTTCTTGTGGGTTGGGGTGACATTTCTGATGCCAACATTCTACATAAATTCACAGGGAACCGTATCCAACACATCCTAAACAGCTGGTGAGGAGGACGTGCTCTGGGTGGCTCAGCTTGACTCTGGGCTTCATAAAGGCATTGCTGTTGATGCACACGAAGGGTTTGAAGAGAAATTATTTTGTAAGCTGGGTGTGGGAAATAGTATTTTATAGTCAACAGGATTTTTAAGTATGTGTATGTAAACAAATTAATAAAACCTACAAATCGTGATCAGACTTTTTTGTCTACATTCCTAAAAATCATATATTCCAGGTTGGCATTAACTATTGTTTTGTGTCTTCTCATTGGCTAATTGCCTTCAGTATGGAAGTCATCTTATATTCCTGGTTTCCCAGGTTGTATGTTCTTCTTGCAGCTCTCGAGGTGGGGGACTTGAAAGGGAGGAGGGGAGGTCGAAGGGGTGGCCTTTTCTCTCCCCCATCCCTCTCATTTCCTCTCTTCACTCTTGCTTTGCTGCCCCCTGCCGCACTGCCAGGCATCAGCCCCTGGTCTGGGCAAAGGACCCCAGAGTATGACAGGTGCCAGCCCATCCTTGGGAAGGTTAGTTTGCAAACCTGTTTTAGTCTTTGGGAGGCCTGGGTATTTTGATTCACACTTGCAGGGTCTGTGATTTGCCTCTTGCTGCATAAAGTCTATTCCATGAAGCATACTCATTTATCTTTAAGCAGATTTATTATATGAAATATTCATGGGTGCAGGCTTGGCAGCACAGCGTCTGGAACAATGTACTGAGTACAGTTTGTCCTCAGAAGTCTATTCATGCTGATGGGATGCAGTTGTCTCCTGTGAAGCTTTGGGGTGAGATGGGGCCAGTAGGGAGTGAGCTGGCTGAGGATAGCTCTTCATCTCCCTTAGTTTGGCTGCAGCAGCCCTGCTCTGCGTGTATGCCTGCGCAGATCCGTTCTTTCTCTTCCTGCTTAGTGAACACAGAGGCCTTCCCTTCTGCGAGAACCCTCTTGTCAGCTTCCAGCTTCCTGTGTAATTCGAACGGATAGGGATGATTTGGAGGGAGGGAAAAGCTGGCTTAGGAGTGAAAACTGATCTGTGGGGAGAAGGCATTTCGGGGACTGGGAGGAGGTTTGGTGCTAACACTTAGGAGTAAGCACAGTGTGGCAACCCCCGGGCTCAATGTGTGTTCCACATGGCCCTGACAGACACCACAGGAAGCATGTGGTGACAGTCCTGTATTACCCACGAAGAAACTGGGGCTCAGAGAGGTTTAGTTACTTGCCCAAAGTGCAGTTCACTTAGTTTAGCAAACCTGTATGGATGTATGGGTGGCCTGTCATGTGGCCAGTGGCTGGATACAGGGCACAGAGCAGTCACGGCCTCTGCCTACGAGGAGTGCCCCATGCAGCCGATAGAGAAACAGAGCCCTGAAAAGTGAGTCAGACAGGGTGAGTGGAGCCCCCATGCGATGCAGGGTGTTAGGAAGGGCCTGGTGAATTGTGGGAGGCTGTGGGAAGGCTGGAGGGGAGGATTGGAAAACTGGATAGGATCTTACCAGGCAGATGGGGGCTGGGAGAGGTAATTACAGACGGTGGGAAGAGCAAGTACAGGCATGCAAGGATGTAGGTCATCCAGGTGTGGCCAGTAGACGGGAGACTGCCTGGTTCAGTGCTGCCCAGTCACACGAGGCGGGGAGGTCGGGGGACGGGGCCAGAACCACTATTGCAGCGGCTTAGAGGCCTTGCTAGAGGATTCGGACTGTAACTAAGGGAGCGACGAGTCGTCGGAGGTCTTGAAGCCAGGGAGAGAGAAAAACGAATTTCTCTATTTGGAAAACAATTCTGGAGGTATAACAGAATGGGGCAGTGGGGAAGGTAGGAGGTAGGGAAACCTGTCAGAGAGGTCGCAGGGGCAGGGGTGAGAGGAAGCGGAGGGGTGTGGGAATGAGAAACATAATTTGAGATTTCTGTTGGAAAATAGCAGGAACTGGTCTGGATTCTGTGTCTGGAAAAAAGTATTAAAAACAAACAAACAACAAACAAACCAGTAGCCAGAAAAGGATAAAGGAAACGGTACCTTAGAAGAGAAGCATGAAGACATTTTTAAAAAGGCTTTTATAATGAGGCAGAAGATTTAAAGTGTTACATAAAACAAGTTTTAGGGAATGAGGAGGACCAATGTGGCATAAAAGGTTTTTATGGTTAGGCTGGAGGTGGAGCAAGGTGGCCAAACAGAAGCCTCCACCAACCATCCTCCTCACAAGAACACCAAATTTGACAACGATCTACACCAAAAAAGCACCTTCGTGGGCACTAAAAATCAGGTGAGCGATCACAGTACCTGGTTTTAACTTCATATTACCGAAAGAAGCACTGCAGAGGGTAGGAAAGACAGTCTTGATCACTGACTCCATCCCTGTGGCGGTGGCCACATGGTGCTCAGAGAGAACCTGTGTGACGGGGAAAGGAGAGTGCAGCAGTTGTGGGACTTTGCATTGGAACTCATTGCTGCCAGCAGTGGGTAGAACTCAGCCGATGCCCACGGAGGGAGCATTTAGACCAGCCTAGACAGAGGAGAATCACCCATCTCAGCAGTCAGAACTTGAGTTCCAGCAAGCCTTGTTACCATAGGTTAAAGTGTTCTGGGTTCTAAATAAACCAGGCCACAAGGACTGCAACACCCAGGTGAGTCCTAGTGCTGTGCTGGGCTCAGAGCCAGTGGACTTGGGGGTTACATGACCTAATGAGACACCAGCCAGGGTGGCTCAGGGAGCACTTGCATCCCCTATCCCCCAAACCCAGGCAGCGCAGCTCACAGCTCCAAAAGAGACCCCCTCCTTCTGTTAGAGGAGAGGAGAGTAAAGAGGACTTTGTCATGCAACTTGGGTACCAGCTCAGTCACGGTAGGATAAGGCACCAGGCAGAGTCATGAGGCCCCCATTCCATGCCCTAGATCTTAGATGACATTTCTAGACACCCTGGGCCAGAAGGGAGCCTACTGCCCTGAAGGGAAGGACCCAGTAATGGCAGGAATCATCACCTGCTGACGAAAGAGCCCCTGGACCCTGAATAATCAGCAGTGGTAACCAGGTAGTACATACCATGGGCCTTGGGTGAGACTCTGAGACCTGCTGGCTTCAGATGGGATCCAGCACATTCACAGCTGTGGTGGTTAACGAGGAGAGACTCCTTCTGCTTGAGTAAAGGAGAGGGAAGAATAAAGGGGACTGTGTCTCGCAGCTTAGATACCAGCTCAGACATAGGGGGAGCACCAACTGGGCCCTTGGGGTCCCCAGTTCCAGGCCTTGGCTCTGGGATAGCATTTCTGGACCTACCCCAGGCCAGAGGGGAGCTCACTGCCCTGAAGAGAGTCCCAGGACTGGCAGCATTCACCACAAGCTGACTAAAGAGTCCTTGGGCATTAAGTGAACATTGGTGGCGCTCTGGCAGCACTCCCCATGGGCCTGTGGTGGTACTGGACACAGGGAGAGAGTCCTCTGCCTGGAGAAAGAGGAGGGAAGAGTGGGAAGGACTTTATCTTGTGGTTTTGTTGCCAGCTTAACCGCAGTAGAATAGAGCACCAGGCAGATTTCTAGGGCTTCCGATTGCAGGCCCTGGCTCACAGATAGCATCTCTGGACCTGCCTGGGGCCCAAGAGAACTCACTGCCCTTAAGGGAAGGACACAAGCCTGGCAGTCTTTGCCACCTGCTAATTGTAGGGCCCTAGGGCCTTGATTGAACATAGAGAGTAGTCAGCTAGTGGTTATAGCAGGCCTCGGGCAAAACTCAGTGGTGTGCTGGCTTCAGATCTGACCAAGTGCAGTCCCAGTGGTGATAGTGACAGGGGTGTCACCCCTCCCCAATCTCCAGGCAGCCCAGCCAGGTGTATATCTCTATGTCTATGTCTATGTCTATGTCTATGTCTATGTCTATGTCTATGTCTATGTCTATGTCTATATATTTATAGATATATAGAGAGATTGCATTCATCTGGGAGATAGGGAAGAGAACAAGTAATTCGGAGAATTCTTCCAGATGTGATCTAAGACCATCAAGGTGGTGCATCTACAAATCTGCAAGAACCACGGCATTGCTGGGCTTGGTATGCCCCCTAATGCAGATACAGCTGCAGTGACCAAAAACTTAGATCACAACACCCACGTCCTTTGAATACCTGGAAAGCCTCCCCAAGAAGGATGAGTACAAACAAACCCAGACTGCAAAGACTACAATAAATACCTAACTCTTCAATGGCCAGACACCTACAAACATCCACTAGCATCAAGACCATCCAGGAAAATAGGACCTCACCAAGTGAACTAAATAAGGCACCAGGGGCCAGTCTTGGAGAAACAGAGATATGTGATCTTTCAAACAGAGAATTGAAAATAGCTGTTTTGAGGAAACTCAAAGAAATTCAAGATAGCACAGAGAAGGAATTCAGAATCCTATCAGATAAATTTAACAAACAAATTGAAATAATTAAAAACAGTCAAGCAGAAATTCTGGAGCTGAAAAATGCAATTGACTTACTGAAGAATGCATCAGAATCTCCTAATAGTAGAATTAATCAAGTAGAAGAATGAAATAGTAAACTTTAAGAGGCTATGTGAAAATACACAGTTAGAGCTGGGAGGATGGCTTGAGCCTGGGAGGCAGAGGTTGCAGTGAGGCAAGATTGCCCCACTGCACTCCAGCCTGGATGACAGAGCCAGACCCTGTCTCAAAAAAAGAAAGCAAGAGAGCGAGAAAAGAAAGCAAGCAAGAAAGAACAGTCAGAGGAGACAAAAGAAAGAGTAAAAAAGAATGAAGCTTGCCTACGAGATCTGGAAAATTGCCTCAATGGGGCAAATCTAAGAGTTACTGGCTTTAAAGAGGAGGTAGAGAGAGAGACAGCAGTAGAAAGTTTATTTAAAGGGATAATAACAGAGAACTTCCCAAACCTAGAGAAAGATATAAATATTCAAGTACAGGAAGGTTATAGAACACCAAGCAGATTTAGCCCAAAGACGTCTACCTCAAGGCATTTAATAACAAACTCTCAAAAGTCAAGAATAAAGAAAGGATCCTAAAAGTAGCAAGATAAACAAATGACATAAAATAGAGCTCCAGTACGTCTGGCAGCAGACTTTTTGGTGAGAACCTTACAGGCCAGGAGAGAGTGGCATGACATACTTAAAGTGTTGAAGGGAAAAAACTTAAATAGCATATATGGCAAAAATATCCTTCAGGCTGGGTGCGGTGGCTCATGCCTGTAATCCGAGCACTTTGGGAGGCTGAGGCAGGTGGATCACTTGAGGTCAGGAGTTCAAGACCAGCCTGGCCAAGATGGTGAAACCCCGTCTTTACTAAAAATATAAAAATTAGCCAGGCATGGTGGCAGACGCCTGTAATCCCAGCTACTTGGGAGGCTGAGGCAGGACAATCGCTTTAATCTGGGAGGCAAGAGGTTGCAGTGAGCTGAGATTGTGCCACTGCACTCCAGCCTGGGCGACAGAGTGAGACTCTGTCTCAAAAAAAAAAAAAAAAAAAAAAAAAATCCTTCAAACATGAAGGAGAAATAAAGACTTACCCAGACAAACAAAAGCTTGATGGATTTCATCAATACCAGACCTATCGTACAAGAAATGCTGGCCAGACGCAGTGGCTCACGCCTGTAATCCCAGCACTTTGGGAGGCCGAGGCAGGCGGATCACAAGGTCAGGAGATCGAGACCATCCTGGCTAACATGGTGAAACCCCGTCTCTACTAAAAAAAAAAAAAAATTAGCTGGGCGTAGTGGCGGGCGTCTGTAGTCCCAGCCACTTGGGAGGCTGAGGCAGGAGAATGGCATGAACCTGGGAGGCGGAGCTTGCAGTGACCCGAGATCGCACCACTGCACTCCATGCTGGGTGACAGAGTGAGACTCCATCTCAAACAAAACAAAACAAAACAAAAATGCTAAAGGGATTTATTTAGTCTGAAATAAAAGGATGTTAATGAGCAATAAGAAATCATCTGCAGGTGAAAAGTTCACTGGTAATGGTGCAGAGAAAAACACAGACTGTTAAAACACTATAATTGCAATGTGTATATTTCTGATATCTTAAGTACAAAGATGAAAAGATAAACCAATCAAAAATAATAACTTTTCAAGACAGTACAGCAAGATGTAAATAGAAACAACAAAAAGTTAAAAAGTGGGGAGATGAAGTTATAGAGTTTTTATTAGTTTTCTTTTTGCTTGTTTTTTAGTATGTTTGTTTATGTAATCAGTGTTAATTTGTCATCAGTTTAAAATAATGTGTTATAAAATATTATTTGCAAATCTCATGGCAACCTCAAGTCTAAAAACATACAATGGATATGAAAAAGTAAAAAGCATGAAAATAAAACATAACACCAGAGAAAATCACCTTTACTAAAAGGGAAGACCAGAAAACAGCTAGAAAACAAATAACAAAATGGCAGGAGTAAGTCCTTACTTAATCAATAATAACATTGAATGTAAATGGAGTAAACTCTCCAATCAAAAGACAAAGAGTGAATGAATAGATTTTTTTTAAGACCCAATGATCTATTGCCTACAGGAAACACACTTCATTTATAAAAACACACATAGACTGAAAATAAAGGTATGGCAAAAGATATTTCATGCCAACGGAAACCAAAAAGGAGCAGAAGTAGCTATACTTATATCAGATAAATCGATTTCAAGAAAAAAATATAAAAAGAGACAAGTTTGTTGTATAATGATAAAGGGGTCAATTCAGCATAAGGATATAACAGTTATATATGCATCCAACACTAGTGCACTCAGATATATAAAGCAAATATTATCAGAGTGAAAGATGGAGATAGACCCCAATACAATGATAGCTGGAGACCTCAACACCCCACTTTCAGCATTGGACAGATCATCCAGACAGAAAATCAACAAAGAAACATCAGACTTAATCTGCACCATAGACGAAATGGACCTAATAGATACTTACAGAACATTTCATTCCATAGTTGCAGAATACACATTCTTCTGCTCAGCACATGGATCATTCTCAAGGATAGACCATATGCTAGGTTGCAAAACAAATCTTAAAACATTCCAAAAAACTGAAATAATATCAAGTATCTTCTCTGACTACAATGGAATAAAACTAGAAATTAATAACAGGAATTTTGGAAACTATACAAACACATGGAAACTGAACAATATGCCTCTGAATGACCAGTTGGTCAATGAAGAGGTTAAGAAAGAAATTGAAAAATTTCTTGAAACAAATGATAATAGAAACACAACATACCAAAACCTATGAAATACAGCAAAGCAGTACTAAGAGAAGTTTATGGCTATAAATGCCTACATCAAAAAAGAAGAAAAAGTTCAAATAAACCACCTAATGATGCGTCTTAGAACTAGAAAAGCAACAGCAAACCAAACCCAAAGTTAGTGGAAGAAAAGAAGTAATAAAAATTAGAGCAGAAATACATGAAATTGAAACAGAGTAAACAATACAAAAGATCAATGAAATGAAAAGTTTTTTTTTGGTATTTTGAAAAGATAAAATTGACAAACCTTTAGCCAGACTAAGAAAAAAAAGAGAGAAGACCCAAATAAATAAAATCAGAGATGAAAAAGGAGATATTACAACTCATACTGCATAAATTCAAAGGATCATTAGTGGCTACTGTGAACAACTATATACCAATAAATTGGAAAACCTAGAAGAAATGGATAAGTTTCTAGACACATACAACCTACTAAGATAGAATCATGAAGAAATCCAAAATCTGAACAGACCAATAACAAGTAATTAGATCAAAGCCATAATAAGTCTCCTAGCAAAGAAAAGCCAAGGATGCAATGGCTTCTCTGCTAAGTTCTACCATTTAAAGAAGAAGTAATACCAACCCTACTCAAACTATTCTGAAAAATAGGGGAGGAGGGAATACTTCCAAACTCATTTTATGAGGCCAGAATTACCCTGATACCAAAAACCAGACAGACACATCAGTAAAAGAAAACTATAGGCTAGTATCCCTGATGAACACTGATGCAAAAATTCTCAACAAAATGCTAACAAACCAAAGTCAGCAGTACATTTAAAAAAAAAAAAAAATCATTCATCATGACCAAGTGGAATTTATCCCAAGGATACAAGAATGGTTCAACGTTCACAAACCAATCAGTGTGATACATCATATCAACTAAATGAAGGGCAAAAACCATATGATCATTTCAGTTGATGCTGAAAAAGCATTTGATAAAATTCAACATCACTTCATGATAAAAATCCTCAAAAAACTGAGTATAGAGGGAACATACCTCAATATAATAAAAGCCATATGCAACAGGCCCACAGCAAATAATCATACTGAATGGGGAAAAACTGAAAGCCTTTCCTCTAAGATCTGAAATAACAAGGATGCCCACTATGTTGAATAGCAACATAGTACTGGAAATCCTAGCTAGAGCAATCAGACAAGAGAACGACATAAAGCCTATCCAAATGGGAAAGGAAGAAGTCAAATTACACTTGTTTGCAGATGATATGACCTCCTATTTGGAAAAACCTAAAGACTCCACCAAAAAACAAAACAAAAAATGTATTGATTAGAACTAATCAATACATTTAGTAAAGTTGCAGAATACAAATTCAACATACAAAAATCATTAGCATTTCTATATGCCAACAGTGAACAATCTGAAAAAGAAATCAAGAAAGTAATTCCATTTATAATTGCTACAAATAAAATACCTAGGGATTAACCAAACAAGTGAAAGCTCTCTAGGATGAAAACAATAAAACACTGATGCAAGAAACTGAAGAGGACACCAAGAAATGGAAAGATAAGCCATATTCATGGATTGGAAGAACCAATATTGTTAAACTTTCCATACTACCCAAAGCAATCTACAGATTCAATGCAATCCCAATCAAAATACCAATGACATTCTTCACAGAAATAGGAAAAAAATCCTAAAATTTATATGGAACCACAAAAGACCCAGAATAGCCAAAGCTATCTTGAGCAGAAAGAATAAAACTGGAGGAATTACATGATGTGACTTCAAGTTATACTACAGAGTTATAGTAACCAAAACAGCATGGTTCTGGCATAAAAACAGACACGTAGACCAATGCAACAGAATAGAGAACCCAGGAATAAATCCATACATCTACAATGAACTCATATTTGACAATGGTTCCAAGAACATACACTGGGGAAAGGACAATCTCTTTAATAAATGAAGCTGGGAAAACTGGATAACCTTATGCAGAAGAATGCATCTAGACCTCTCTCTCTTGCCATATAAAAAAACAAAGTGGATTAAAGACTTAAATCTAAGACCACAAATTATGACACTACCAAAAGAAAACATTGGGGGAAACTCTCCAGGACATTGGACTTGGCAAAGATTTCTTGCGTGATACACCACAGGCATAGGCAATCAAAGTGAAAATGGACAAATGGGATCACATCCAGTTGAAAAGCTTCTGCACAGTGAAGGAAACAATCAGCAAAGTGAAGAGAGAGCCCAGAGAATGGGAGAAAATATTTGTAAACTGTCTATCTGACAAGGGATTAATAACCAGATTATATAAGGGGCTCAAACAACCCTGTAGGAAAAAAATTTAATAATCTAATTAAAAATTGGGCAAAATATCTGAATAGATGTTTCTCCAGAGAAGACATACAAATGGCAAACATGTATATGAAAAGGTGCTCAACATCATTGATCATCAGAAAAATGCAAATCAAACCTACAATGAGATATCATCTCACTCCAGTTCAAATGGTTTTTCTCCAAAAGACAGGCAGTAACAAATGCTGGTGAGGATGTAGAGAAAAGGGAACCTTCATATACTGTTGGTGTGAATTAGTACAATCACTATGGAGAACAGATTGGCGGTTCCTCAAAAAACTGAAAATAGAGCTAGCATATGATCCTGCAATCCCACTGCTAGATATATACCCAAAAGAAAGGAATTAAGTATATCGAAGACATATCTGCACCCCCATGTTTATTGCAGCACTATTCACAATAGCTGGGATTTGGAAGCAGCCTAAGGTTCCATCAGCTGATGAATGGAAAAAGAAAACAGTACATATACAAAATGGAGTACTATTCAGCCATAAATAAGAATGAGATCCTGTCATTTGCAACAACAGTGATGGAACCGGAGATCGTTTTGTTAAGTGGCATAAGCCAGGCACAGAAAGACAAACTTTGCATGTTCTTATTTGTGGGAGGTAGAAATTAAAACAGTTAAACTCGTGGAGATGGAGATTAGAATGATGGTTATCAGAGGCTGGGAAAAGTAGTGGAGTGAGTTGGGGGAGGAGGAGATGGTTAATGGATACAAAAAATATTGGCAAAGGGTGAGTAAGACCTAGTATTTGCTAGCACAATAGGATGACTACAGTAAAAAGTAGTTTAATTACACATTTTCAAATAACTAAAATAATTGGATTGTTTGTAACACAAAGGATAAATGCTTGAGGTGATGGATACCTCATTTACCTTGATATGATTATTATGCATTGTATGCTTGTATGAAAATATCTCATATACTCCATAAATATATATACATACTCTATCCACAAAAATTAAAAATAAAAAAATAGTAACAAAGTTTTTCTAAATTTAATAGTGTTTTAGAAATTAAAAGAGACCCAAGAATAAAAGGAAAGGTGAACTAAGAGAGATATAGGTTAAAAAGAAATATAAGAGAAATAAGCTATGTAAGAGATACAGGCCGGGCGCGGTGGCTCATACCTGTAATCCAACACTTTGGGAGGCTGAGGTGGGTGGATCACCTGAGGTCAGGAGTTCGAGACCAGCCTAGCCAACATGGTGAAACCCTGTCTCTACTAAAAGTAGAAGAATTAGCCAGGCATGGTGGTGGGCGCCTGTAATCCCAGCTATTTGGGAGGCTCAGGCAGGAGAATCACTTGAACCTGGGAAGCAGAGGTTACAGTGAGCCGAGATCACGCCACTGCACTCCAGCCTGGGCAACAAGAGTGAAACTCTGTCTCGAAAAAAAAAAAGAGATACATATAGAAGAAATAAGGGAAATAGGCCGGGTGTGGTGGATCATGCCTGTAATCCCAGCACTTTGGGAGGCCGAGGCGGGCGCATCACGAGGTCAGGAGATCGAGACCATCCTGGCTAACATGGTGAAACCCCATCTCTACTAAAAATACAAAAAATTAGCTGGGGGTGGTGGCGGGCGTCTGTAGTCCCAGATACTTGGGAGGCTGAGGCAGGAGAATCGCTTGAACCCGGGAGGCGGTGTCAGTGAGCCCAGATTGCACCCCTGTACTCCAGCCTCGGTTGACAGAGTGAGACTCCATCTCAAAAAAAAAAAAAAAAAAAAAAGTGAAATATAGGCCAAAAGCAGAACCAACAGTAGGGAAGAGCAGACGGTGGTTTACAGGGCCACGACCACCGATGGCTCTGGAAGTGCAGGTAGTGCAGGCAGCACCCTGAGACTGGAAGGGCAGGTGGAGGGAAAGGGGAAAGGTGAGTGATGGAGTGGAGCCCGCCTATTGGAGAGCTTCAAGGGCACCACTTGCCACTGTCTGGCAGGGCAAGTGACAGTGTAAACAGGGCAGTCAGGGGTTCACGTGGCTTTGCCTTTTGCTGCTGGCACCTGTTCAGGTGGGCTCTTCGGAGTTGATGAGGTGGTGATTGAGCAGCTAGGATGCAGTGTGGCAGGCTTGTCCTGTCACATACCAGAGAAGATGGTGGCGGGAGGTGGCGCTTGCAGAACTCTTAGGAGCACTGAGGAAGAAGGTGGAGGAACACCCAGCCTTCTGGCTTGAGTGCCTCCTGTGTGTCGTAGAAGGATCTAGATCCTGTGGGGGCACATGGAACAACAGGAAAAACTTGCAAGACCTGTGGGACCAGTACATGGTCATCTGGTATCACATGTGAAGCTGGGGCTGCGCATGGGCCATACTTCTCATCTTCTGGAGTAGAGTTAGACAAGGAAACCCAACTCAGGATCGCGTTAGTACTCTTGTCTGCTCTAATCGCGGGTTGAGCTGATGTCTTCATCCTTTGTTGGTTGCTGTTAAGGAATGAGGATGCGTTTATGGTGGAAAGAGTGTGGGGCTGAGAATCTGGAGGCCAGGGTCAAGTTCTGACTCTGCATTTATTATCTGTGTGACTTGCTGCAAGTGTAACCTGTCTGAGTGTCTGCGTCCTTATTTGTAATTTGGAGGCTATAATAGTGATGTCTGCCTCACAGAAGCCCTAGGTTGTCGTGGGGATCAGTGTGGGTATGTGAGAGTGTTTCATAAATTGCAAAGCTCTGCCGTAGCTGATTATACCTCTGGACTTCTAAGTGCTTTGAGGAAAGTGTACCTGGTTATTCCTTATACTTCTCACAGTGCCTCCAGAGTGTCAGTGATACTCAAGAAATGCTAGTTGAGTGTGAGTTTACTGCAGCACAGAGCAGTTTCCGGGTTCCATTTTCCAGTGGCCAGACCCTCTCCTTGTTCACACTGTTGGATGAGGGAGGTAGAGCTGGAGCATCGGACTGGCCTATGGAACAGATGCAGTGGCCACCAGGAGGTGGCGATGCCTGGAGCAGTGTTAGCCATGCAATGTGATGAGGATCACACACTCTCACGTGGTTTCCAGTCGCTGGGCACAGAGCTACCTTCAGGGGGGCCCAGCTTCATGTTCAAAAGCAGGAAGCAGACTAGGGGCTGTTTCCATTTCCTGTCCTCCCACTTCTCTTCCACTGCACAGCCCGTACATGCATGCCTGCATGCCACCCCTCACACAGTGTCCCCATCTCCTTAGTGCGGCCTCAATTCTGACTCCTGGTTGTTTCTCGTTTCCTTAACTCTCCGTTGCTACCCCTAGCCCCATCCCCTGCTTGTGGACCCTGGAGAGGCACTGTCTGCCTCTGCCTCTGTGGGCCCAGGTGCTTGTTGGGTGTTGAGCTTGCAGTGAGAACTGGTTTGCTGAGCCTTGGTTTTTTTTGCACCTGCTGCAGGTCATCTTCCACGATGTTGCTGTGCTGACGGATAAGCTCTTCCCCATCGTGGAGGCCATGCAGAAGCACTTCAGTGCTGGCTTGGGAACCTACTACAGTGACTCCATCTTCTTCCTCTCGGTCGCCATGCATCAGATCATGCCCAAAGGTAACCTGGGCTTCCAGGAGCAATAGCCCCTGGGTGTCTGACTTTTGCATCCATTTCCCTGGTTCCAACACTGCCCAGGCCCTGTATCAGGGAGAATAGCTCCACTGAACATGAAAGAGTGGACGAGGGAGCCAGACCAAGCCCTTTGTACCACCGAGCTTCCTACACCAAGAATCAAGGGCAGGGCCTTGGTTGCATAGCTCCCGGGGTCCATTTATGAGGACACAGGGGGTCTCTGGGCTCTGGTCTGGACTCTGCCCCTTGCACTCGCCCCCTTCTTTCCCCACTGCTCAACCCCCATACTTTGTTTGCTCATCTGAAAAATGGTGGGTTGGATTAGATGATCCTCCATCCAAATTTATGCTCTTGTTCTTTCTAGTTTGAATCTGTATTTATCTGATTTTAAAATAGCAAATCTAGATGTGAGAGGTGCAAATTACGACCATGTAGAACTTCTGAAGAAACTCTGATGCGCAATTAGAAGGATTTTCTGGGCGTCTGTCTCCAGGAAAGAGAGATGCATCATCCAGTGTGTGATAGGTCCAGCTTATGTGGAATTTCTGGCAGGTCTGGTCATGCTTGGACTGGAAGCCTTGGAGGGTCTAACTCCTAGAGTGTGTCTGGTTTCTAGGATCTCCCTACAGTGATCCTTAATGGGTTCTGGAGCCCTGGATATTGACCAGTGTATTAATCTGTTCTCACGCTGTTCATAAAGACATACCTGAGACTGGGTGATTTATAAAGGAAAGAGGTTTAATAGACAGTTCAGCATGGCTGGGGAGGCCTCAGGAAACTTACAGTCATGGAAGGGGAAGCAAATACGTCCTTCTTCACATGCCGACACCAAGGAGAAGTGCCAAGGAAAAGGGGGAAAAGCCCCTTATAAAACCGTTGGATCTCAGAGAACTCACTCACTAGCATGAGAACAGCATGAGGATAACTGCCCCCCATGATTAAATTACCCCCCACCAGGTCCCCCCCACCACATGTGGGGATTATGGGAACTACAATTCAAGATGAGATTTGGGTGGGGACACAGCCAAACCATATCAACCAGTTTCTGGCCATGGTGAACCATGTCCTGAGCCTCTTAATGGTGAGAAGGGGTGTTTGGGGCCTTAGGGTAGCAGTTATCTGAACTGTGGCTGGATGAGTTTTCCAGCAGTTTCCAGACCAGGCAGGTCCTGGTAGCCCAGGGGACAGTGGGCCATATGGTGGAGGCCTGCTCCTCCAGCCCAGCAGACCAGAAGTGAAAAAGAAGGTGCTTGGTGAACCAGAGACTCAGGAGTTGAGAGTTGAAGCTCGGTTCCTGTTGGGAGGTTGTCCTGCCACAGGGAAAAGCAAGCCCATCCATTCTGGCTGGGACTTTGCAGGCAAGTTCCAGCACTCTGGAGGCCTCTGAGTGTCCTCTTTGTTGTGAGGCAAGGGCTCAGGGGGCTCCACTGGGCAGGAGTCTGAAGAAGAGAGGAGACGAGCTCACCGACAGGGCCTAGGGTGAAGATCTAGCATTGGTGAGCCTTTGCAGTGACCCAGGTGCAGCTCTGTCAGCTCACCAACCCTTCTACCCATCCTGTGGGGTTACAGGTGAAGCTGAGGAGTTGCAAGACCTGCCCAGGGTTATACAGCCTTTTAAGTGGCAGAGCCAGGGTTGGAAGCTGCTTCTCCAAATAGTTACTTCTACCCCATCAGGTGCCCCATACATGACCTCTCTGGACAGCCCAGTACAGGAGCTGTGGGTGGCTCAGACTTGAGAAGGACGTGGTTCTGTTCTAGATTCTAGAGGGCAGACAGATGGAGGTGTTGCTCACAGCTCCGCCATTAGCCACGTATGTGCCTAGGGCTGAGCCACTTTGTCTCTCTTGGCCTCACCAGTTTCCCCACCTGTGAAATGAGGGGCTGCGGCAGTGAGCTGTTTCAACTTGCATTCTGAAGAGCCCAGGGCTTGCAGGAATCCCCGCTAGGGGTTTCTGTAGTTCTAGGGAGCCAGGGGGAGGCACGCCTGCCCTCCCTTCACCTCCCTCCCTCCTGCCTCTTTCCCTCTGTCAGCTGTCAGGTTCCTGCCCATTGCGTGCTCAACTCTGGGCTGGGTTATGCTGTGGAGTACCCAGCAGGAGGTGAAATACAGCTCCTCGTGGTTTGTCAGGGAAGAGAAAATTCTTCTGCCTCCAGCTATAGGACAGCCAGGCAATGAATTGTGCAGGGACCGATGACAAGAGTTAGGGAGCTCCTAAGCTCTGGGAGAGGGTGAGAATTATGCCAGGAAGGTGCTCTGGCCCTCTCTGACTTAGCCCTGTCCAAGAGCCTGGCATAGCTCAGGGGGGCAGTGATGTCTGCAGAGAAAAGGCTCTGGCTAGAGCTTTGCAGTCGATGCAGTAAATGGACGCATCATTGGTGTCCCTCCAGGTGTGGGCCCCACCCTCTGAGGGGCATGCATCAGGAGGTGGGGAAGGAGTTATTTTAGATGTGCCTCCAGCCGACCCAAACACACAGTCTTTTCAGGGGTTCTTCAGGGGAGTGATAATGTGCTTCCAGCAATTCTTTTTTATTTTTAGGCGGAGTTTTGCTCTTGTTGCCCAGGTTGGAGTGCAGTGGTTTAGCAATCTCGGCTCACTGCAACCTCTGCCTCCTGGGTTCAAGCGAGTCTCCTGCCTCAGCCTCTCGAGTAGCTGGGATTACAGGCATGTGCCACCACGCCTGGCTAGTTTTGTATTTTTAGTAGAGACGGAGTTTCTCCATGTTGGTCAGGCTGGTCTCAAACTCCTGACCTCAGATGATCCGCCCGCCTCGGCCTCCCAAAGTGCTGGGATTACAGGCATGAGCCACCGCGCCCGGCAGCAATTCATTTTTACATGTGCCCCAAAGCCTTTTCCTAAGAAAACAGTTATTAGGAGTTACTAAAATTTGATAGTCATAAAATAAAATGAGCGGTCCTTGAGTTTCCTGTGGCGTCTGGGGTGTGTCCTGCCAGGAAGTCTGGCCTGGCACACTTGGCAGCACTGGGGAGTTCCTACCGAGATCATTTGGAATTCCTGCAGTTTTTGGAAGGACACTCTGTTTTCAGACATCATTCGTGCTGTCTTGAGTTTGTCATGATTCTTAACTGCTGCCTTTTTTGCATTCATTGTTTTTTAATCATAGAAATGAGTGTTGTTTTGTGCTTTGGTTGATGGTTTTGTTGTCATGTAATTGCTGCATTCTTGTTACATTGGCTATTCTGTTTCTTTCATAGCATTCGTTTTTCTCCAGGAAAGTGAGAGTGGAGTATGGGTGGAGCCTGAACCCTTGGTCTCACCCAGGAGGGCTGGGTCAGAAAAGCCTGTGCTCCTCTGAGTTCCTCCTGGAGGTCCTGTCTAGTGTTTGCCCCAGAAATCCAAATTCTTTTTCTGTGTTTAAAGCTCTCCTCCCGCCTTCCCTTCTGTAGCATGAGGGTCATCCTTCTGTACCTAAACTATTTTTAAAATGTGCTTACTTTTTTTTTGAGACAGAGTCTCACTCTCGCCCAGGCTGGAGTGCAGTGGCACAACCTCGGCTCACTGCAACCTCTGCTTCCCGGGTTCAAGCAATTCTCCTGCCTCAGCCTCCCAAGTAGATGAGATTACAGGCACCCGCCACCATGTCCGGCTAATTTTTTTTTTTTTTGTATTTTTAGTAGAGATGGGGTTTCACCATATTGGCCAGGCTGGTTTCGAACTCCTGACCTTACGTGATCTGCCCGCTTTGGCCTCCCAAAGTGCTAGGATTACAGGTGTGAGCCACTGCACCTGGCCATCATTACTGATTCTTTATCTTCTTTATATTCCCAACATGTAGCTTTTTAAACATTTAGGCAAAGTAGGAGTTATCCTATATATCAAATCATTCTGAGTCTTTTTTTATAGATGAAGATTTGAAGTTGAATCTTCATTTCAACCCCCATGAAAGAAATTGTACAAATGAAGCTATGTCATGATTTTTTCAGTTAATGGCTCACGTCCCCATTTTCTGTGTAATTATAGTCTTTGAAAATTTTTTGAATGGTTTTATTGAGTAGATGAACCTCCGTTCACTTTCTCATTTCCCTGTTCTCAGCTAGCTAGCTGCTTTCTATATTTTCTAGTATTGTAAATTATACGATGGATATCCACATGCATACAGATTATTTTCTCTCATTAGGATTCTTCCCTATGATAGCTCCCAAGGGTAGCATTACTGGGCCAGAGGTGACCCTTATAAGGCCAGGGTGTGTCAACCCCCAGCCGCCCAGGGTTGTCGACTCACACAGGTGAGCTTCTGTATAGTTTGAAGCCTACTGGTGTCTGTACAGTTCTAAGCCTGTTAGTGTCTGACCTCTCACATGGGCCACCTCAGGCAGCCACTTAAGAGCTTCGAGACAGTGGCTGTCCCCACTGGACAGGAAAGGAAAGGGAGGAGCTGAGAGGTTAGGCCGCTTCTCCGAGTTCTCCAGCGATCTGTGTCCTCCTTGCCCTGGGAGTTCTCAGTCCGGAGCTTATGCCCATTCTGATGTCCAGATGTGGACACCCAGCCTCTTACACATGCCCAGCCCTGTGAAACTTACAGGACTTGGCATCCTTGCCTGTCTTCTGGGCCCCATGTCGCAGCCCCACAGAGGGGACCTGGCTGGGATAGGGTTGGGCTGGTCAAACCCATGAGTTTTGCCCTGATCGCCCCCTTGGAGCAGGAGCGCCCAGAACCACATCTGAGCAAGGGCCTCAGGAAGAACGAAGGGGTCCTGCCAGGCGGGACATGCTGGCTCTGACTTTGGTCAGAGCTTGTTTTTCTCTTCCTTGCTTGTTGGGGATTCACATGCGGCTGGTCTCGCTGCTCATGCTTGCCTGCCTGTGTGCCCTCCACAGACACAGCCACTCTCTGCTCTTCACCCACATCCACGGGGCTTTTATTTCCATTTGTCTGTGGTGTTGGGTTTGTCGCCACTGGAAGCATCTTATGCAATGGAAAAAAAAAAACATTTTTTGCCGCACTGGAGCTGGAGGGAGCCAAGGGCAACTCCTCCAGGACTGCCAGCTTCCCCCTCCTGGGTCACATGGCCTGAGGCGCTGCTGGCTCCAGCTCAGCAGTATGGGCTGTGCTAGGGCGCATGCTCTGTGGTTGTGGGTTCTCCCTGAGCAGGGCAGGCAGGCCTCCAGACAAGCAGCAGGGCTCTAGGCTGGCCAGAGGCCCCCAGGAGACTCTCCTGTCATCCCCCATGCACCCCTGGAAGGCTCTCCTGTCCTGCAGTCAATCCTTTGTCAATACCCAGCCTATGCTAAGCGCTACTGTTTGCAAGACATGGTGCTGGCCACCCTGGGTGTCTCAGAGATGTTTGCTGGGCTGCTGCTTCATGGGCTCATGTCAGTGGGGCAGGTGGCATGGTCCAGCAATGAGGGCAGGCAACATGAAGAGCCACCCAATGCTGAGGGCTTCAGAAGAGGACAGGTCACAGGCATTTGCAGGAAGAAGGAAGCCTTCCTGGAGGAGGTGGCTGTGAAATTTTCTCCAACTTGCCTTGTTTTTGATGACCTTGACAGTTTTGAGAAATACCGGTCAGCTGTTTTATAGAGTGTTTCCCAATTAGGATTTATCTGATGTTTTTCTCATCATTAGACTGAGGTTACGGGTTTTTGGGAGGTTATGGGAGGAATGCCGTGGAGGAGAAGAGCTGTTTCCCTCACATCATATCAGTGACACACCACATTCTATCAAGGGTACATGGTTTATCACTGTTGCTGTTGACCTCGATCACTGGGCTGAAGTCGTGTTTGTCAGGTTTCTCCACTGTAAATTATTCTTTTCCCCCTTGCCATACTATATTCTTTGGAGGGAAGTCACTCTATGTCATCCATGCTTAAAGAATGTGGATAGTCACTTTTCAAAGGTCACATGTCCCTTGCTTGGACCCCATCACACACAACCTGCTGGTAGTGTCTGCCTCCTGACAGGTGCCACTGGCCATGGGCTGTGGGAGCCCAGAGGCTTCGAAGGACCCCTTCAGCATTTCATGCGATAGGCTCCATTCATTGTACTGCTCGGGGCTGTGAGTGGCTGCGTCTGATCGTCTCTTAATGTCCAGTGTAGGGAGCACTGAGGCAGGCAGGTCTGAGCAGGCTGAAAGGGGGATTGGTGTATCAGAGAGAGTAGGAGTCCAGGCTCAGGATCGGACAGAGCTGAGTGCAGATTGCAACACTGTGACTCCCAAGGTCAAGGCTTCGTGATCTTGGGAGGTTATTTAAAAGAGGCCCTATGGTGTCGTGGTTAAGAGCATGGGCCCGGCCGGGCGAGGTGGCTCACGCCTGTAATCCCAGCACTTTGGGAGACCGAGGCGGGCGGATCATCTGAGGTCAGGAGTTCGATACCAGCCTGGCCAACATGGTGAAACCCCATTTCTACTAAAAATACAAAAAAATTAGCCAGGTGTGGTGATGGGCGCCTGTAGTCCCAGCTACTTGGGAGGCTGAGGCGGGAGAATCGCTTGAACCCAGGAGGCGGAGGTTGCAGTGAGCCTAGATAGCACCACTGTACTCCAGCCGGGGTAACAGTGTAATAGAGTGAGACTCTGTCTCAAACAACAGAAAAAGTAATGCTGCCAAAAATGCTTCATATATCCGCCCCAGCCTCCCCTCCCCCCAGCTCCCAGCATCAGGGTTTCTGAAATCTCCATAACATTTAGCATGTGATTATTGCCACCATCAGCCCCAGCCTGCTCGTTTCCTGCGGAGATCTATGGGAGTGGATAAAAGACCAGACAAATGCAAGCTGTTATAAAATCCCTCAAAAGGTAGGATTTGGGCCCGAGCCTCTGCCCGAATCTCTTGAAGCCTAGTGTGACGCTTGCCATTGTAGAAAAGAACAGCAAAGCCAGCTGGCAACAAATTGGGGTGGCCCCATCCAGCTCTCCTGGCCTCCTGAGTGTTATCACCCCTGAGAGTCCTTATTTCAGTGTCTGTCATGGGGGCCTTACTGTCTTGAGGCTGCAGGCAGATGGTTGGTCTCTTTCAAGGACATTCTTGGGTCCACTTTGGGTCAGTGCTGCTGGGTGGCAAAGGCTGGTGTAAGATTCAGGTAGTTGACACTGGATGCTTCTTAGCCTAGGTTCACAGGCCTGCATGAGAAAGAACTGAGGCAGGGCCAGAATGCCTGCAGGCTTGGGGCAAAACCCACATGGGAAATTCTAGACCAGCAGCTCCTTCCCTCCCTCCTTCCCTTCCTCATTCCTTCTTCCCTTCCTGCCTGCCTGCCCTGAAACACTGAGGTCAGTGTGTGTGTGGCCTTTTGCAGAAAGCCTTTAAAATACCATCTTTTCTTTTTTCCTTAAGTAAAATTTGACAAATGTAGTAAAAGCCATATTGAGTTTTCATTTATTTGTTCTGTACTTTTTGTACTTTTACTCACTGCCATGGGAGGTCTGTAAGTTTTAGGGTACATGTGCACATTGTGCAGGTTAGTTACATATGTATACATGTGCCATGCTGGTGCGCTGCACCCACTAACTCGTCATCTAGCATTAGGTATATCTCCCAATGCTATCCCTCCCCCCTCCCACCACCCCACAACAGTCCCCAGAGTGTGATATTCCCCTTCCTGTGTCCATGTGATCTCATTGTTCAGTTCCCACCTATGAGTGAGAATATGCTGTGTTTGGTTTTTTGTTCTTGTGATAGTTTACTGAGAATGATGATTTCCAATTTCATCCATGTCCCTACAAAGGACATTAACTCATCATTTTTTATGGCTGCATAGTATTCCATGGTGTATATGTGCCACATTTTCTTAATCCAGTCTATCATTGTTGGACATTTGGGTTGGTTCCAAGTCTTTGCTATTGTGAATAATGCCGCAATAAACATACGGGTGCGTGTGTCTTTATAGCAGCATGATTTATAGTCCTTTGGGTATATACCCAGTAATGGGATGGCTGGGTCAAATGGTATTTCCAGTTCTAGATCCCTGAGGAATCGCCACACTGACTTCCACAATGGTTGAACTAGTTTACAGTCCCACCAACAGTGTAAAAGTGTTCCTATTTCTCCACATCCTCTCCAGCACCTGTTGTTTCCTGACTTTTTAATGATTGCCATTCGAACCGGTGTGAGATGGTATCTCATTGTGGTTTTGATTTGCATTTCTCTGATGGCCAGTGATGATGAGCATTTTTTCATGTGTTTTTTGGCTGCATAAATGTCTTCTTTTGAGAAGTGTCTGTTCATGTCCTTCGCCCACTTTTTGATGGGGTTGTTTGTTTTTTTCTTGTAAATTTGTTTGAGTTCATTGTAGATTCTGGATATTAGCCCTTTGTCGGATGAGTTGGTTGCGAAAATTTTCTCCCATTCTGTAGGTTGCCTGTTCACTCTGATGGTAGTTTCTTTTGCTGTGCAGAAGCTCTTTAGTTTAATTAGATCCCATTTGTCAATTTTGTCTTTTGTTGCCATTGCTTTTGGTGTTTTAGACATGAAGTCCTTGCCCATGCCTATGTCCTGAATGGTAATGCCTAGGTTTTCTTCTAGGGTTTTTATGGTTTTAGGTCTAACGTTTAAGTCTTTAATCCATCTTGAATTGATTTTTGTATAAGGTGTAAGGAAGGGATCCAGTTTCAGCTTTCTACATATGGCTAGCCAGTTTTCCCAGCACCATTTATTAAATAGGGAATCCGTTCCTCATTACTTGTTTTTGTCAGGTTTGTCAAAGATCAGATAGTTGTAGACATGCGGCGTTATTTCTGAGGGCTCTGTTCTGTTCCGTTGGCCTATATCTCTGTTTTGGTACCAGTACCATGCTGTTTTGGTTACTGTAGCCTTGTAATATAGTTTGAAGTCAGGTAGTGTGATGCCTCCAGCTTTGTTCTTTTGGCTTAGGATTGACTTGGCGATGCGGGCTCTTTTTTGGTTCCATATGAACTTTAAAGTAGTTTTTTCCAATTCTGTGAAGAAAGTCATTGGTAGCTTGATGGGGATGGCATTGAATCTGTAAATTACCTTGGGCAGTATGGCTATTTTCATGATATTGATTCTTCCTACCCATGAGCATGGCATGTTCTTCCATTTGTTTGTATCCTCTTTTATTTCCTTGAGCAGTGGTTTGTAGTTCTCCTTGAAGAGGTCCTTCACATCCCTTGTAAGTTGGATTCCTAGGTATTTTATTCTCTTTGAAGCAATTGTGAATGGGAGTTCACTCATGATTTGGCTCTCTGTTTGTCTGTTGTTGGTGTATAAGAATGCTTGTGATTTTTGTACATTGATTTTGTATCCTGAGACTTTGCTGAAGTTGCTTATCAGCTTAAGGAGATTTTGGGCTGAGACAATGGGGTTTTCTAGATATACAATCATGTCGTCTGCAAACAGGGACAATTTGACTTCCTCTTTTCCTAATTGAATACCCTTTATTTCCTTCTCCTGCCTAATTGCCCTGGCCAGAACTTCCAACACTATGTTGAATAGGAGTGGTGAGAGAGGGCATCCCTGTCTTGTGCCAGTTTTCAAAGGGAATGCTTCCAGTTTTTGCCCATTCAGTATGATATTGGCTGTGGGTTTGTCATAGATAGCTCTTATTATTTTGAAATACATCCCATCAATACCTAATTTATTGAGAGTTTTTAGCATGAAGGGTTGTTGAATTTTATCAAAGGCTTTTTCTGCATCTATTGAGATAATCATGTGGTTTTTGTCTTTGGCTCTGTTTACATGCTGGATTACATTTATTGATTTGCGTATATTGAACCAGCCTTGCATCCCAGGGATGAAGCCCACTTGATCATGGTGGATAAGCTTTTTGATGTGCTGCTGGATTCGTTTTGCCAGTATTTTATTGAGGATTTTTGCATCAATGTTCATCAAGGATATTGGTCTAAAATTCTCTTTTTTTGTTGTGTCTCTGCCTGGCTTTGGTATCAGAATGATGCTGGCCTCATAAAATGAGTTAGGGAGGATTCCCTCTTTTTCTATTGATTGGAATAGTTTCAGAAGGAATGGTACCAGTTCCTCCTTGTACCTCTGGTAGAATTCGGCTGTGAATCCATCTGGTGCTGGACTCTTTTTGATTGGTAAGCTATTGATTATTGCCACAATTTCAGCTCCTGTTATTGGTCTATTCAGAGATTCAACTTCTTCCTGGTTTAGTCTTGGGAGAGTGTATGTGTCGAGGAATTTATCCATTTCTTCTAGATTTTCTAGTTTATTTGCGTAGAGGTGTTTGTAGTATTCCCTGATGGTAGTTTGTATTTCTGTGGGATCGGTGGTGATATCCCCTTTATCATTTTTTATTGCGTCTATTTGATTCTTCTCTCTTTTTTTCTTTATTAGTCTTGCTAGTGGTCTATCAATTTTGTTGATCCTTTCAAAAAACCAGCTCCTGGATTCATTAATTTTTTGAAGGGTTTTTTGTGTCTCTATTTCCTTCAGTTCTGCTCTGATTTTAGTTATTTCTTGCCTTCTGCTAGCTTTTGAATGTGTTTGCTCTTGCTTTTCTAGTTCTTTCAATTGTGATGTTAGGGTGTCAATTTTGGATCTTTCCTGCTTTCTCTTGTGGGCACTTAGTGCTATAAATGTCCCTCTACACACTGCTTTGAATGTGTCCCAGAGATTCTGGTATGTTCTCGTTGGTTTCAAAGAACATCTTTATTTCTGCCTTCATTTCGTTATGTACCCAGTAGTCATTCAGGAGCAGGTTGTTCAGTTTCCATGTAGTTGAGCGGTTTTGAGTGAGATTCTTAATCCTGAGTTCTAGTTTGATTGCACTGTGGTCTGAGAGATAGTTTGTTATAATTTCTGTTCTTTTACATTTGCTGAGGAGAGCTTTACTTCCCAGTATGTGGTCAAGTTTGGAATAGATGTGGTGTGGTGCTGAAAAAAATGTATATTCTGTTGATTTGGGGTGGAGAGTTCTGTAGATGTCTATTAGGTCCGCTTGGTGCAGAGCTGAGTTCAATTCGTGGGTATCCTTGTTGACTTTCTGTCTCTTTGATCTGTCTAATGTTGACAGTGGGGTGTTAAAGTCTCCCATTATTAATGTTTGGGAGTCTAAGTCTCTTTGTAGGTCACTCAGGACTTGCTTTATGAATCTTGGTGCTCCTGTATTGGGTGCATATATATTTAGGATAGTTAGCTCTTCTTGTTGAATTGATCCCTTTACCATTATGTAATGGCCTTCTTT